>NW_003315954.1:0-223995 GCF_000001405.40 Homo sapiens
CAATGTTTTCTGTTATATGAGTGATTAAAGTAATTTGACCTTTGACTGGAGGGCAAGTTTGAGATGCTGAGTGTTTACATATAAGGCAGTAGGGATACCTGCTATTTAAACTGTATCATGAGGAGTTTGGAAATCAGGTTTATAGGCAACCAGGAGACACTGAGCAGGAAATTTTTAGAACAAACAAACAAAAGGACCCAAAATGTGAAAAGTTAGCCTATATACTATGACTCAGCCATCCCAAGATTAGCAAAGAAATCAGAGTTTAATATCAGGTATTAGGGACAAACCCTGTCTCTAAAATTCTCTGGATTGCAGCCATGTAATGTACTGGCCCAGGGATGGAGGGAAGGGAAAGGGAGGGAGCTTCCTCTTCGCCAAGAATATTTCCCTTGATTTTGCCATGTCGACTAAACTGAATCTGAAACATAACAAAGGCCTTTTCTTTGAAATTTTCTTTACATTGAAAATCTTTTCTACAGGGAAATCACCATGGAACAAGAAAATCTGGCTTCCTTGTCTGAGTCGCAGGATCATTATATCCAAATGGAAACTTTCGGTTTCCCCTTCACCAGGTTCCAGCATCTCACATCTTTCTTACTTTGGGGTCCAAGGAATGGGTCTCAGTGATCCTGCAAATACCTGAAATTATTTGCAAAATAGGTATGCTTATAATTACATGCATTTTTTTCTAGGTAGAGCCCCCATAGTTGAGACTTATGACCCCAAAAAGAACCACTGTTCTGTGTGCTGAATCCCATATTTAATATGTGATATCCAGGGCACAATCTTAGATGCCTAGGTGCTCCTTAGCCCAGCTGAGAGAGACGCTGAAGCTTCCTCTCACCTCCCACAGAGGTACCCTCCCCATTTAAGACTGACAGATACTTGGCTTGTTCTTTAGGTAACTGATTTCAGAAATGGGCACTTTTCATAGAGACCCTACTCCCTGCCCACAGATGTCAGGCCTTCTCCTCACAACAATTAAGTTAGATCAGTTCACTTCCATACAACCTGATCTTTCTAAACCAAGCATCCATTTGCTTATTTAGAACATGAATGGGGTCAGTGAGAAGCACCCAAATCCACTCAGCAGGACTGAAGGGTAGACAGTCAGAGGTGATGGTTTATGAGGGTAGGTTTAGGAACTTCAACCTCTCTTCCTCCCTAATATTTTTACTGTTGAAATGAGACTGCAGCCCTTACTAGGCAAACCCAGGCAGCAGCCATCAGTACTGGACCTCTGGCAGCAGAGCCGTGCTTTGGCTCTGAATCACCTTCTTCACCCCCAGCCCAGTCCAGAATGCTTTGGAGGCCGAGTGCCACAAATGCCTGAGCTCCATGTATCAGCCTCATTGCAAAGCAACCGTAGGGATGGGAAGGGAAGAATGATGATCCATGGGCAGTGTTCCAGGGTACCCCTGGAGACTAGTGATGCAGACAGAAGGGGGTGGTTGTGCTGTTTCCCATCACTCAAGAGTTATTTCACATTCACAAGACTGTGATCAGATCCTGTTCATTTATTCTACTTAAAATGACACAACAGGAACAGAGACTTGGAATGGAAACTTTTCTACCTGGGTCTTTTTAGGATTTCAGCAAAGATATAAACATCCTCTATTTTTTTTTTTTTCTTACAGGAGAATAAAAACTCTTCAACATACATTGAGGCTTTGCAGCCTTTTCAGTTGAGGAGCATAACAAGAGATTTTCTGCTCTAGAGTCCAAATCTTTTAAACTCAGAGGCTGCCACTCTGAGGTCATTTTCTTTTCATGTTACTGGAAGCATGATGTATACTTTAAAAGTAATAAAGTTCAAATAGAGCCCACTGGGGACTGGGAAATGGGCTTTCAGAGTAGGTTGATTCATTCCATTTCAGTCATGTAAAGTTTAAAGAGAAAGCAAGACAGGGGAGTTAGATAGAAGGTGAACAGAGAAGGTATGGTTGATTTAAGAAAAATGACCTTCAAGAGTCATTCCCATTGCCTATGACTTCCTAAGAACCTATGAGGTTGGATGGAAAAAACAATGATTTTAACAGGAGTGTTTTCGACCGAGGACACAGCTATACTAAACTCTCTCAATAATCACAATTGTCACATTTTAATATTCCCTTTTTTATATGAAAGTAGGACAGCTTTGTCCAAGATTGAGGCATTTTCACCTTGTGCTTTTCTGAACAAATTATGTGAAAATTAAAAAAAAAATACAGAGCCTGGCCCTCCAGAATTCTCTAAAACAAAAGCTCAAAGCAGCCTGAGATTATAGCCTACACAATTTCAGGTTAGTTTTTCAGTCATTTTTCAGCTATGTACTATGACATTTATAAATATAACTTTTCTGGAAAGGAAAAATAATAAAATACAGCAAGAACAATTTCTTTTGTACTTAGATAGCCAAGTGCCTGGATGTGAACAGCCACAAGTCAGCTAAACCTCCACGCTCAGTGAGGAAGCTGTGGATCAGAGGGTTTTGTGTCATGCGCTAATAAGCTGCACAGCTAGGCTCACCCCCAAGGTTTCTGGCCTATGTCTATTCCCTTTACTTGACATTTTGCTATCAGAGGACACTGCAAGGAGACAGTCAGAGTATCATTTTGAGACTTTGGGTTAGTACCTAAAACAGCAAGAGAGGAGGAGGAAAAATTTGAATTAACTCTATTGGCCAAAGGAAGAGGTTATAAGCTCTTTCTGTTCTGAGCTCTATTTAACATGAATATAACCATTTTCTCAGCTTTTTTCCTTTCTGGAGAGAAAAGTACTGACATTCAGAGACATGGAGAAAACAGAATATTGAATCTTAGCAATCTCTCTGCTACACTATTGGTTCTTCTGCAGAACCTATCATCTTCTGTGAACCTACAACTTTCTCTCCTTTCCTTAGAGTTTCTCCATCCTGACAGTAATTTTACCATGCAGGATACAGAATATGTGCAATAAATATATGCTAGAAGTCTTGAGTCCTACTGACTGCTTTATTCTACATTCATATAGCATATATTTTATTATTATATATGGACTATGCAATATGTGTCTCATCTTGTGCTGTGAGCTTTGCTTTTTAGATATGATTTCCTTTAATCTTCATATGTACTCAGTGAAGCATATACTACTATTGTTGTCCCCATTTTAAACCAGATAAAAATAAGACCAACAGATAAAGGCCATCAGATTTTATTTTTTTTTTTGAGACAGAGTCTCGCTCTGTCACCCAGGCTGGAGTGCAGTGGCACGATCTCGGCTCACTGCAAGCTCTGCCTTCTGGGTTCACGCCATTCTGCTGCTTCAGCCTCCCGAGTAGCTGGGACTACAAGCGCCCGCCACCACACCCGGCTAATTTTTTGTATTTTTAGTAGAGATGGGGTTTCACCGTGTTAGCCAGAATGGTCTTGATCTCCTGACCTCGTGATCCACCCGCCTCGGCCTCCCAAAGTGCTGGGATTACAGATGTAAGCCACCATGCCTGGCCAGACCATCAGATTTTAAAGCTTAACTCTTAATTACTGTACTACACTGAGTGTAACTAATACATACATTTGGTGGAATTTGTCTTAGGTACAATACTTTTGTTTTTATTTGGTATCATCACATTATATAAAAGCAAAAGTGACCCCCAAAATAGCTTCCACTTTAGGCTCTTTTTCTCTCCACAGCAGACAATACCCCTACTAAACAGAATTTGATTGTTGCACCTATGTTAAGTCGGGGACCAGAAATTTATTTTAGAGTGTTCGAAGGGCAAAGGAAAGTACTGCTTTTTGTAGAAGGATTAACTTCGTGGCTCAAATTTGCTAGATATTTGTCTAAACTTCTCTTCAGAGAAAAGCCCGAGCTTGCTTGCTGTAGGCTCAACCAAGTTTTACATTTTGAGACCATAAGCCTGAGATCAGAAATCTTTTAATCAGCATAAATCCTTAAAAGATCCCATAACTCTGAAGTCATGTTTGCATTATAAACAGAACATGTGTTTCATGGGGTGTGAAAATGCCAGCAGAAACTGCTTGCTTAATTTTATCAACCTACTTTTTTAGAGAGTGCTGACAGCCCTACAGAAGCATGACTAGCGGCTGCTGAGGTTGGCAAGCCCACATTCTGTGGCTTTTTCTTTAAGTGGCGTATCAGGAGATTAATTCAGCCTGAATTTCACATTTGTGTTCGGTAGCAATTCCCAGAGGCCTTAGGAGCAAATGCATATTTGACACCTATTTATCTTTGTCGGGGTTGTCATGGGAGCCAAGGTGATATCAACTTTAGTGAGGTCCTTTGAGGAGAGGTTATGGGGAACTGGATATATTTGCTTGGTTCTATTTTCATATCTATCTACTGTTTGCCAAAAGGTTAAGTTTCTCCCACCTCTCTGTCAGCACTACATTTGGTAATATGAAAGAGATGGAAGCATGGCTGGTTGTAGTGATAACGACCGATATGGCAGAGACGTGCGCTTCGAGGTCCACTTGTTCCTGTTGAAAGCATTTTTTCTTGCCTTTAAAGAGATTTTCATATTGATGCGCTGTGGCTGATAATGAGAAACCTGGGTATTTAAAAAATATATATTTTTTGTCCTCTATTATTAATCATCAAATGCGAGAGAGCAGATGAAGCAAGGTTAAAGAAGTACAATGGGATTCTAAAGAAAAAGAAGTCATAATGGCCTGGAGCAGTAAATTAGTGCAAAAGCTAGAACCATAGGAAAGCAATAGTTTGTTGACCTACCACTTAGAGTCTAAGCCTTTGAGGTTTGAAAACTCTAACATGATTTCATTCATTACTTCAATACACTGCTGGAAAAAAATAAGAAATGTATTTGAATCAAGTTTTAAATCTCAAATTCCGAATTTGTTATTTCAATAGTTTGGGGGGTATAGGTGGTTGCTGGTTACCTGGATGAGTTCTCTAGTGGTGAATTCTGAGATTTTTAGTGTACTCCTTACCCAAGCAGTGTACACTGTACCCAATATGTTGTCTTTTATTCTTCACCCCGCTCCATGAGACCTTAGAGTCAGTCCATTATATCACTCTGGATGTTTTTGCATCCTCATAACTTAGCCCCCACTTATGAGTGAGAACATAATGGTATTCTGAATTATTTCACTTAGAATAATGGCCTCCAGTTGCATCTAAGTTGTGGAAAAGACACTATTTCATTCCTTTTTATGGCTGAGTAGTATTCCATGGTGTATATATACCACATTTTCTTTATCTATTCATTGGTCAATGGGCACACAGGTTGGTTCCACATCCTTGCGATTGTGACAGATTCCAAATGTGTAAATGAGCTTTCTAATTGAAAAATGAATTGAGATTGAAAAATGAATAAATAATCTCATTTTCTGAAAGCAAATGGGCAATGTAATTATAAAGATTTTTTTCAAAGCACTCTTGAGTTTAAGGACACATGCACACACCGGAACACTCACTGACCCATCTTCTGAACACTCACTGGCCCACCTTTGCTGTCTTTCTTTTCTCTTCCCTATCAATTTTTATTGACCTGTTCTAAAATTTGCTTGCCTGATTTGTCTCAGTAATCCTCTCAGGTATCACTGTTTGAATTCACATTTTACACATCAAGGCACAGAGTAGTGACACAGCTCATTGCTGGAGTCTGGTTTTTGAGCCCATGATTTTAACTACCATACAATCTATTTGCCCAGTACAGAGGCTAAATAATAGCAATAATGCATACTCCATCAGCTCCATTTATTGTCATTCATAGCCACATAAATTTTTTTTAATTATACTTTAAGTTCTATGGTACATGTGCACAACGTGAAGGTTTGTTACAAAGGTATACATGTGCCATGTTGGTTTGCTGCACTCATCAGCTCGTCATTTACATTAGGTGTTTCTCCTAATGCTATCCCTCCCCCAGCCCCCGACCCCCCAACAGGTCCTGCTGTGTGATGTTCCCCACCCTGTGTCCAAGTGTTCTCATTGTTCATTTCCCACCTATGAGTGAGAACTTGCAGTGTTTGGTTTTCTGTCCTTGTGAGTTTGCTGAGAATGTTGGTTTCCAGCTTCATCCATGTCCCTGCAAAGGACATAAACTCATCCATTTTTATGGCTGCATAGTATTCCATGGTGTATATGTGCCACATTGTCTTAATCCAGTCTATTATTGATGGACATTTGGGTTGGTTCCAAGTCTTTGCTATTGTGAACAGTGCCACAATAAGCATACGTGTGCACATGTCTTTATAGTAGCATGATTTATAATCCTTTGGGTATATACCCAGCAATGGGATTGCTGGGTCAAATGGTATTTCTAGTTAATGCTATCCTTCTAATTAGCTGTGGAAAAGTAGGTTTTATCCACCATCTCTTGCTGACTTTTATAGTAATAAATACCCTACGTGTATGGTTAGGTTTTAGATAGGTAGATTTATAGGCATAGTATAGATATACAGCTTTCTGAAAGGATACAAAAGAAACTATAATAGCCTCTAGAGGAAAAATAAAGTAGCAATGGATGAGGATGAGAGGATTAACCTTTTGACATTTCTTATACTTACTTATATTACCTAATCGAACACAATTATAAATCAAATCCAATCAAACAAAAACAACAGAAATTTATTCTCCTGGAAGAACGCTGGCTTTCAAGTGAATGAGTAATGACTTGTGATCATTTTTATGCATCATCAATAAAACATTATGAGCCGCATTCTTTCTACTTCACTCAAATTAATTTTACCATTAAAAATTAATTCAATTTCAATGATCAGTTTATTTTAATTCTCTAAAAATGTGTCATCGTTTTTTGCTTTCAAATAAACATAGATGTACTTTGTTTAGATGCACTGACATTTAGGATTCTACAAACTAATTTGTGCTTAATTACATCTCGCTCAAAAGTTCAAACTTTTAACTCATAAAGTTTAACTTTATATTCTGGATTTCAGCAAAGCACTGCCTAACACATTGCGTGCAGTAGGACAGGAAGTGATGACTGTTTCTTTCGGAGCTTCTGCCAGTATGGAAATGCCACATCTCAGTTCTCAGCATCCGTACTCATTCATTCTTTTATTCATTTATTCATTTATTCTTTCACTTGCGCACAATGTTAATTAGGTCCTTTTCAGATGTTCAGTTTACCTCCGGTCATGACAATCTATGGAGAATGATGGGAGCAAAGAGAGATATTTCAACGGAATAAAACAAAAGCAATTCTATTAACCTATTCAACGCTGGGGTCCCAGCTGCACTTCACTACAGATAAAACTGTGGGGATAGTAGTCTCTATAGTTGCATAAACGCCAGGTGTTTTTTTAGACTCAGATGCAAATTTGCTTAGGTTTATATTTGATCCTTGAATCATTTTTGTAACCAGCTGGAGTTTTTGGCCATAACGTATTAACAATTTTTGGATGAATCATGCTGTGGTCATTATAAGCCTCTCTCTGGTCTGAATGACTGGATCTATTTTTCAGTTTCATTTTTAAAACAGTTGATTATACATATGTCAGCATGCATAATCTTTATTGTATCTAGAGATGCCTAATAAAACACACGTGAATAAAATATTCTCCAGGCAAGAAAAATGAAATGCAAATCTGATGTTCATAGATGGCCTTGCATAAAACAGCTGGGACTCTGGGCTCTAGATTTGAACACTGGATTTGTCCCTGGTAGTTCTGTGTCCTAATGTGAGTTAACTGAATCTCTCTAAGCCTCAATGAATTCATTTAAAAACAGGATTTGAGGATTTAGTATATAACATGAATACAGTTCCTAGTATAGTGCATAGTATTCAGTCATCACTCAATAAATGTGAATTCTTTTTGTTGGTTGTTGTCCTTGATGTTGCTGAAGAGGCGTGTGAGAAGGCAGCAAGATGCAATGATGTCAGTGCATGTTAGGCAGCAAGCAGATAAACTCATATAGCTTCTCTATAGGGGTGAGCTGAAATAAGAATTTCCTCCGATAGCTCAAATTTCTCATGTTGTAGGCAAAGCCCTCCAGAACACATTTCTAATCCAGAGTTCATTCCAACTCCTTCCCCACACAAGCCTTCTGCTTTAGTCAGAGGCCTCTCCTCAGATTCTTCTCTGTGAACTTTGCTTGGAAGGAATGACTATTTCCTCCTAAACCCTGTTCATATTCCGGAGTCCTTCAAAGCTAGTTCAAATTTCACTTCAGTAGAACTCTTTCCTAAAAATTGTATCCTTCCCATCCCTTTCTTAAATGTCAATAGAATAATTATTTTTGCCACACATTTTGGTGGTATATTAGGATTCTAGGCAGTCATAACAAATTACCAAAAACGTAGTGGCTTAAAACAACGTAAAATGTAAGACCTTGCATTTCTGTGGCTCAAGAGTCTGACACAACTTCACTCAGTTAAGACCGAGGAGTTACAGGGCTGGTTTCCTTTCTATAGGCGATAGGGGTGGAGCCTCTTTCTTCCTCATTCAGATGTTGGCAGAATTCATTTTTATGCAGTTATAGGACTGAAGGCCCCATTTCCTTACCAGCTGTTGGCTTGAGGCCAATCTTTTCTCCCAGGGGGATCTCTTGGGTCTTTGCACGTGGTCACGGCATCTCAGAACACCAAGGCCACTTCCAGTCCTTCTCATGCTGCCATCTTTAGCCTCAACCTTCTGCCTCCCTCTTCCAGTTTTTTTTTTTTTTTTTTTAACGGAATCTCACTCTGCACTCAGGCTGGAGTGTGATGGCACAATCTTGGCTCACTGCAACCTCCGCCTCCCTGGTTCAGGCGATTCTCTTGCCTCAGCCTCTGGAGTAGCTGGGACTACAGATACGTGCCACTACACCCGGCTAACTTTTTGTATTTTTAGTAAAGACGGGGTTTCACCACGTTGGCCAGGATGGTCTCGATTTCCTGACCTCATGATCTGCCCACCTCGGCCTCCCAAAGTGCTGGGATTACAGGTGTGAGCCACTGCACCCGGGCCCTCTTCCAGTTTTAAGAACTCATTTGACTAGATTGGGCTCACCAGAGTAATCCAGAATAATCTCCCCATCTTGAGGAGGACAATGAAGCCGTCTCTTTTTGCCCTATTAAGGTTTGAGCATTTTGGATGAGTCATTATTCTGCTGATTCAGGTAGTTTTATGAAGTCCTTTTAGAATTTTAGCTACACATGGTCCTGCCTGAATTACATATGTTTTTCAGTGTGCAGTGGTGGCTCTCTGTCAACATTCTGGATGGTAGGGAAGGACAAGGGGGTTTGTCATAGGTCTTCTGTAGCCCTAACCTGACCTACCCCAGAGCTCTGAGAGCAAAATGTTTGAGGAGGCACGCGGGCAGAATCCTGAATCAGTGGTTCAAGAGATTCTTCAGGTTTAAAATTTTACATCTTAAACAGTCAGATCTACGAAGGATTTATTTTATATTGGAGGACTAATCTATGAGATTCCTTCAGATACAGGCTGTTCCTCAGGCAAATGCCATGAACTTAACTATGCTTGGACTGATTTAAGTAACAGGTGTCATGATCTTGAAGCTCAACTTCAAGGTTAAGTTGATTGGCTGAGAAGTAATATTTACCCTAACAGCTTTTATTAAAATCTTGGAGATAAAGTGTTCTCTGCATGTCAGACATTTCTCCAGGAACCATGTTTAAATGTCCTTCACGTTTACATCATAATTTTACGAGTAGGGCAATTACTTTATCTCATCTTGAGTGAGACACTAAAATATCAGAACCTCCTTAATATTTTCTACTGATATTCCCTCATCATTCTCCTTATTTCTTTGTTTTGTTTTTGTTTTGTTTTGTTTTTTTGAGATGGAGTCTCACTCTGTCGCCCAGGCTGGAGTGCAGTGGCGCGATCTTGGCTCACTGCAACCTCAGCCTCCCGGGTTCAAGCGTTTCTCCTGCCTCAGCCTCCGGAGTAGCTGGGACTATAGGCGTGTGCCACTACACCGGGATAATTTTTGTATTTTTAATAGAGACAGAGTTTCACCATGTTGGTCAGGCTGGCCTTGAACTCCTGACCTCATGATCCGCCCACCTTGGCCTCCCAAAGTGCTGGGATTACAGGCGTGAGCCACCACAACTGGCCAATTCTCCCTATTTCTATTCTCTGACTCTTAGTATGTGAAACAAACAAATACATTTAACAAAAAGCAATTTCCAAGCCTTCATACACATTGTTTCCTTTTGCTAGAATTTTATTTCTTCTTCCCATTTCCCTCCAGAAAAGCTTTTAATTGCCTGTTGAAACCCCACCCAAATTCTTCTACAAGGAAGCCTTCCTTTATTCCTTCTAACCTGCATAGAATGTGAGTTATTCTAGAGTTGGTTTTTATCCCCAGAAACTAGTACCATGTTCAACTCCATAAATGCTAAATGTGTCTGCCTATCGATTGACTAAAAATAGCTATTATGGAAGCAATAAATTCACAAGGTTACATCTCCGGACTTTTGCTGTAGAATGAATATAAGCAGAATCAATTGTTTCTTTCTTTTTTCTGATAGGATAAATATTGTTTCGTTTTTATTTGCTTGCTCAATATTTGTAATGATTCTTTAGATTACAAAACCTGATTGACAACCTCGAGTTCAGAGAAATCTTTCTTTTATTGAAGACCCAATAAACACATTATTTTGAAATACTTTTCTGTGTCACAAATGAATATTACAGCAATCAAAGAAAATAACAGACTGGGATTATTTAGCTCAAAGCTCATAAGGAAGTCTAAATATTCAGTTGACCTTCTCTATGACTAAGTGTCCATAGCATGTTGAATCCCACCTTTATGTATGTAGAAATGGCCTGAGCGATTGAGAAATACTACTTATCACTCTTTGATCAGTGGCAGACCATGCTTCACCATGATATTCTCTACCTTTGATTCTAGCTTAAATATTAAAAAAAAAAAAAGAGAAGGGGCTTGAACCTATTATCCCAACCTCATTTTGCATCTTCCAAGTGCAAAATAGATCCACTATTTGCCTTTTCAATGCAATGTTACGTTTCCTTATTAAGTACTATGTTACTAAACTTTACACAGACACTGAGAAGTGGAACGGGGTGAAAGGTCACCATATAAAATATATGCTTTCACATATTACTCTCTGTAGAACATTTTGACCTGAGGCAATTCTTCAATATCATAAAATCATTTAGGAAAAAACAACTACCACTAGCCTGCACTTGACAACTGATCATGGGTCTCAATATTATATTCTCCCAGAAACCAAAGAAAGAAAAAATGATCTCAGAAAGTCCTGTTGTTTTGGCAAGAAGTGAAATGCAATCACATAAATTTCAACATATTAAGCGGCAGTTGGTATTTTATAAATGGTTAATGCTGGTATAATTCCAAGATGCATTAGAAATATTAGAGTCAGAAGCAGCATTACAGCTCAGCAATTCTGCACATAATCAAGAGTTGGGCAGCATCCACAGACAGTTTTTATTACACAGACAGGCACTTGAGAATATGTTTCTGGAAGCAAAATGAGATGATGAGGAGGGAAATTATGTAATGAGCAATGCCAAAATAGGCATAAAGGAAAATTATTCATTGGGAAAAACAAATGCATTTGGGCATAGAAGACATTTCTGACAATTTGTCTACCTATAGAAAGTGGTCCCTGTTCAGATATTAAGAAAAACACAAGGGTATTAACAAAGGTGGTAAAAGTACCAGAGTTTAGTTGATTCTTGTTTATGTTTTCCTCCTCATCTTTCATTCTGGAATTGTCATATATATATACACTCATGCAGACACACATATTTTTTATATATATACACATGTGTGTCTGTATGAGTATATATGCGTATATATACATATATAATGTATATATACATTATATATGTGTGTATATATCTGTATATACACAGACATGTCATATAATTTCAGATTAATGAATCTTTTTAATCAAGACCCATTTTTTTTTTAACTTCTCGTGAATTGTTCCTTCTCCAATCCTTCAAAAACAGAGACACACTGAGCTGCAGGCCTTGCCCAGTCATTCTTTGGCAGACTTGGAAACTCAGCTGTTCTCATGGCTTTGCTGTTAAACATACCAAAACCCAGACGGCTTCACATAGTTTTCCCTGGGATTCAAGCTGTTTTGATTCTCCACCTTCAACTGCCCATTTACCATCTCCACAAAAGATTTCCGACATCATCTTTCTTCCTGATGGAAATTTCTACTCCAAATTTTTAATTATTTTTTTCCCATTTCATCTCTTTTTCCCATATACTCACTCAGGCTCAACATTCTTTTTTTTTTTTTTTTTTTTTTTTTTTTTGGGACAGAGTCTCGCTCTGTCGCCCAGGCTGGAGTACAGTGGCACGATCTCAGCTCACTGCAAGCTCCGCCTTCCGGGTTCACGCCATTCTCCTGCCTCAGCCTCCCGAGTGGAGTAGCTGGGACTACAGGCGCCCGCCACCACGACCGGCTAATTTTTTCTATTTTTTGGTAGAGATGGGGTTTCACCATGTTAGCCAGGATGGTCTCGATCTCCTGACCTCGTGATCCGCCCGCCTCAACCTCCCAAAGTGCTGGGATTACAGGCATGAGCCACTGCGCCCGGCCTCAGAATTCTTAAATCTTCCTTATTCCTTTATTTCTCTCTGTTAGGATAACTGCCCAGTCTCCAGAATCTACACAGGGCCCTCATATTCCCCCTCACATCTGTCCAGTCTCTTTCATGGCCATTTCTCTAGCTTATCACTTCATACCTCAAGTAGCACAGCAGTTGGATTATTGGTCTGCTTGGCCTTCCTCTTTCCTTCTCCTACTTTGTCCTAGACAACACTACCACAAAACAGGCAATGGCCTAGAACACAACCTCATGTGAAAAGATCTTCAGTGTTTTCAATTGGCCTGCAGGTTAAATCCAAACTACATCGCATGTCAATTATCAAATGCCTACATTGAACTCTATTCTTATTCAGTATTTTGGGGGAGGGGCTACAAAATAATTATACACTTTTGCTCACATCATTCCTCTTTTCTGGGATGTTCTTTCCTACATATCTTTTTTTACCAAAGTGGTAGCGTTTTCCATAATATGCAATTCAAGTCTAATCATGTTGGATGAAGAGCAAAAGATTAATTTAATTGGGTTTTAGTTGAAAATATTTTTCAGAGCCTAACTATCCTTATGAGTTATCAAATCCTTCATGTAAGAAAACTCTGTTATGCAATGGAAGCAAACTGTGGGAGAAGTGGGGCAGGTGTTGTCTGGATCTGAAAGTGGGTGGTAGGTAACTTGTATGGTATTTCCTGACTGGTGGGTGGCAGATTTGAAACCAAATCCTAGATCCCTTGACTCCTAATCAACATCCCTACCCTATAATACGACTGGAGGCATCAGGACCTACCCATTAAGTAATACAGACACATAGCTATCAGGAGTCCTAGAATTGAAACCTGACTCTGCCACTTACCAGGAATGTGAAGTTAGACAAATCACTTAATGCTTCTGCCTTCATTTCCTAATCCGTGAAATTGACCCAACAGACATTATAAGTTTAAAACAAGGTAATGCAAGTAAAGTATTTAGCACAATTCCTGCAGTGATGAAAACCCTTGATAATTCAAGCCTTGTTACTATAACACCGTGACTGTAGAAAATTGTCTTCAACCACTAAAAGAATGATGTTTCCAAATACCAGTGGCCTAAAGGTGGAGTAAGTGACAAGTTATTTTCAACTCTGTGACCAAGGTTATATCTATCCTTTAATTAGCTAAGACTCAAGATGTTTTTCCCTCCCATTCTAGATGAGATGTATTAATTATATCCCCAGGAATCAAAGAACATCTTACAATTTCATCAGTTCATTTCACATTTGTTATGAATTCCTTAGGTGAATATTCTTAAAGTGATATTGTCTTGGTGGTTAATCGGGTTTTCCACCTATAACTGAATATTTTTTGTGTGTGTATCTCTCACCAGTCTAGACTAGGAAAATTATAGCTACAGGAATCATTTTTAAAAATAGTACATATCACAGAACATTACTTAGCCAGAAAAATCCACAATTATTGGATTAAGCAAACTAATCATCTCCTTGAGAACCAACTGCCCACTAGCCAAATTGTACCAACAGGGACGAGTAACATTTAGCTTTTGGAGAAATTCTAAATAATTCCAAGTAATTAGTGCAAGAACTGTATGAAATAGCCAAATACTTATTCTGGACTCAGACTATCTGAATTGATATTCTGACTGTGATTTACTGCTGTGGAACTTTGGGCAAGTCACTATACCTTTCTGTACTGGCTTCCATCTCATTTTTATTTCATGAGATTGTTGGAATATGTAAGTGAAAGTATGTCTATAGATCATTCAGCATACTTTCTGTAACACGAGCACCTACAATCTAAATAGTATTATTACTAATATTACTGTTTTCCTTCTGGTAATTTATCCAAAGATGTGCTACACTTGACAACAGCTTCTGAATTCTCTGTTCTCCATCCTACAGACTTACGATAGTCTTCCTTTTCTTTCTCTATCATTTCCTTAAGTAAGCAAAAAATAATTTAGAAGTTGCCAAGTGGGGAAAACCCCAATCTATTGGAGAGTATGACAGCAAGGGGTGGCAGCGGTGGGTTGAAGGTCTTACTCAAAGTGTCCATGCCTAGGGATGTTAGACAGGGAGTGAAATGATTTTTAAAAAATCTGAATTAGCACATACAATACCAAATTGCAACAGCTGCCAGGAAGGGTATTTGTGCAATATCTACTGATAAATGAGTAGAATGTTCTTTCCTTTTCCATAAAGGGAATCTTGTTAAGTGAAGTGGATAACTCTTAAGAGTGTAACTAGACTTGGCAAATCAATGCCTTTCTGGAGAACATAATTGTGCTTTCTGGAGCTAGACCACAGGCACTCAATTATTTAGAGGGACTCTCGGGCATCCAGCCCATCAGCTCTTGGGTAATGCTTCGGAAGTCACGGGAGTTGCTTATCTGAGCTGCTGAGAAAGGAGAATGTTTTATGTCAAGCTATAAAATATACAGCACATAACACCCTAAAGTGTCTCCTATTATCTTCTTGTCTAGCTGTTGCCTTAATTCTGCAGAGATACAGAGATAGGAAAATACTTGCAGACAGAATTTCCAGTGCTTTCTATTATCTGAAATTTTCTCTATTTTACCTTTTAGAAAAATAAATCTTATTTGCTTTTTTTAGTAAAATATGTTTCTATAGGACTAAGCTTGTTGTCTACAAAATAATGTATTACTAGTTAGAAATGTTAACAGTACAAAGAAAATAATCATCATTATTTTGTGTGCATATTTTTGGCAGTCTACCCGTGCATATGAGTTCGCTTGTCCTTACAACAGTCTCTGAGATTTGCCAAGTGGTTTGCCAACCCCACAAAGCCAATAAATGGCACACTAGGACTGTAATCCAGGACCTCTGACTTTATGTCCACTACGCTTCATAACACCTTATTCTATCTTTGGAATAGAATATATTGCCCACAGAATTATAAGTTAAAAATAACATATTATAAATACATAATCGAATATATTTTAAAATTTACTTACTATGCAGAGTATAGAGTATGTGCCATTTTCAATCACTTCTCCCAAATTCCTGTGCCTTCTGCCAACTGCATGCCTTGTATTCACTTTTCCACTCACATTTCAGTAGGCGAGAGGTCCTGAAACCTCAGTATACAGGAAAGACCCGCTGAGTGCCTAATACAATTCAGATGTCTTGGACTTTGCCCCTACAAACTTGTGATCCAGGTGGTCCAATGTCACATCCTAAGAAACCTGGGACTCAGCTCCATTGTTAATCACTACTGCATTCCTCATGTCTCCAGGTAGATTTCTGAGCTGCTATTTCCACACTGCCACCACACTCGACTCTCTCTGCCTCTGACCTTCAATGGCACAAAACCCTAAACGTGGATCCTGCTCTCAATCCTCTTCCTACTTCCCAATCTCTTTTCTCTTTATCTCTATTCAAAAATCACAAAATGAAACATGGCTAGAGAAAGATAAATCCAGACTCCACCTATTCAAGCAAAACTCTATCGGGTCAGGATGATGGCTTATGCCAAATAGTAGCCTGACATGGTGACTTGTGATCTTACTAGGTTTCTGCCTTTGTAGAGCAACTGAGTCTCCCCACTAGAGTGATTTTTGTACTTTCTAATGTTACCCAATGGCTGGAAAGTAAGAAGCTGCATCTCCTTGACTTCGGCTGTAACTTGCACATTGGAGTAACATTTTTAATATCCCACTAGCCAGATGTGACTTCTTAGGCCAATGTGTACCAGAGCACAGGCCTTCAGGTTGCTCTTTTAGACACACCCACATACATTGGAGAATCTGGCATTTTGAATGGGGTCAGACTTTAGGCCCAATTTAGCCTTTTTGAATCCTTACTCCACCTCTCTTTCTTTTCCTTTCTGAATATCTAAAGTTTCAAAATCACTCTCATCAAGTTATGCTGAGTTTTAAGAAAAATCATTGATCTTTCATCTGTGTCACCAATAGACCTTCTCCATTTTTGAGCCATGTAACTGGGGTCTGATCTCTTCCTTAGAACAACTGAGGGCTGAGGGTTTGGCCCAGGTTTGTGTTTCAAGAGCCAGAGCTGGGAATGCAGTACAATTTATTGGATGATTGTGATGAAGAAGCAGGGAGTGAAGAGCAAATTCATTTTTGGCCCAAGTGTGTAAGAGAACTGAAAGGCAGGGTAAGTAGGAATGGGTAAAATGCCACCATGGTATCTAAAACATATAATTGGCAAAAACACCAAGAGTAGTGGCTCACACTTGTGGTCCCAGCACTTTGCGAGGCCAAGGTGGACAGATCACCTGAGGTCAGGAGTTCAAGACCAGCCTGGCCAACATGGTGAGACACTGTTTCTACTAAAAATACAAAAATTAGCCAGACATGGTGGTGCGCACCTGTAATCCCAGCTACTGGGGAGACTGAGGCAGAACAATCACTTGAACCTGGGAGCAGAGTTTGCAGTGAGCCGAGATCATGCCACTGCACTCCAGACTGGGTGACAGAGTGAGATACCGTCTCAAAAAAAAAAAAAAAAAATGGCTAAAACAAAAATTGCATTTCAACCTGAGGGTGAAAGGGTGGGTTAAGAATTGTTAGCTTGGAAAGCACTGCAGAAAAGTTCCAGGAAGTTACAGAACACAGAGCGTGTCAGCCTTTTATGGAATGCTCATGGCTAAGCCCAAGAGCTGAGAGAGAGAATTCAAGCATGCTGGCCAGCTGAAAGAATCCTGCATTTGTATACTCTCAAGGAAGTAGCCTACCATACTAGAGATTTTTAATCATTTTCCCAAATCAACTTATTTAGGCTGAGTAAACTACACACTAGCAAGGGTACTTGAAGATCACCTCAAGCAAAACAGTCTGGATTATTTGAGTAAATATTCATAAGCTGCGGTCCTACAACATTCTGCTAGTTTGGTAAGCATACACTCAGTAACTGTCAATGCACTTTTGTTGTGACGATGATATCCAGATTTTTATTTTTTCCTCCATTTGTTAAATATACTTAGCACAATTGAACAATTTATTACCTCTAAAAGTATTGAATCCCTGCCATCTTGAAAAATATACCAGCAACTAGCAAACAATTAAAATGTATAGGCCATTAATCTCAAGAAAGGCTATGAATAAACAAGTATCTCTCTTGTCTTCCACTACTCAAAGAAATTTCACTATGAGGAATTAGGAAGCAGCTACTGGTCTGTGTACGGTTCAGTTACTTTTTGTTTTGATAGCTTCTGTCCACCTCATATCAACATTTTCTTCACAATTGTGCTAGCCATCATAAGTTTCCATTAGTGAAAGCTACTGACTTAGGGTTCTCTATCCCAAGTAGCCATTTACTTTGTTCAAAGATCTGTATCACTGATCATTACTATAACCCTTTGGAGATTTTGTTTTGTTTTGTTTCTAGAGATGGGGTCTTGCTCTGTTGCCCAGGCTAGAGAGCAGCAAAGTGCAGTGGTATGATCATAGCTCACCCCAGCCTTGAACCCATGGACTCAAGCAACACTTATGCCTTAGCCTCCAGAGTAGCTGGGACTATAGGTACATGCCACCATGCCAGGGTAATTTTTACTTTCTTTTTTAGAGATGGGGGTCTCACTACGTTGCCCAGGCTGGTCTTGAACTCCTTTTCTCAAAGTTATTTTTAGTAGATGTGCCTTGTTTCACAAAAGTGAAAACACAAGGAGAAATATGCTAGCAAGTATTGCACCACGTACATTCTTTATGTACTTTCTAGTCTCTTAAATACTCTAAGAAAAACGTCAATGGTAAAACAAAGCAGAAAAAAGAGATATCCAATGCAGTGAGTGTATTAGTTTCCTATTTCTCTTGTCATAAATTGCCACAAACTTAGTGGCTTAGAATAACACAAATTTATTATCATACTGTTTTGGAGGTCGAAGTCTGAAGTAGATCTTTAGGGCTAAAATCAAAATATTGGCAGAACTGTTTCTTCTAGAGATTTTAGGGGAAAATCTATTTCCTTGCTTTATCTAGCTTATAGTGGCTACCTTTATTAATTGACTTGTGGCCCCTTCTACCACCACCAAAGGACTTCAGTCCAATCTCTGCTTCCAACTTCACATCTCTCTGATTTTGACCTTCATGCCTACCTAGTTATAAGAACTTTTGTGATTATATTGGGCCCACCCAGTTAATCCGGGATAATCTCAAAATCTCAAGATCTTTCATTTAATCACATCTGCAAAATCTCTTTTATTACATAAGGCAACATAGTCACAGGTTACTAGGATTGAGATATATCTTTGGGGACAATTGTCAGCCTACCAAAGTGACATTTTATACTGTAAGCTGTTTTGATAAAAGTTGACTTTTCTAAGATTTACTGTCTTACTTTTTGTGTGAATCTATTGAAACTCAGAACACGTAAATTGGATCTGCCAGAAATCCCATCTGGACCTTGATAAAGCTCAATGTTCAATTACACTAAATCATTCTTTTTCCATTAAAATGATGACTCTTTCCTCTATTGAGGTCTTTGTGCAGGCTTGCTACCTTGGCATAGAATGTCCTTCCTCCTTCTCAAATTGTTGGTAAATCTCTGACTAGACCTCAAGCTATAATTTAATGGTTACCTTTTTCTTTTGTTTGCTCTGAGTCCCTTTTTCTTCCCACAAAGAGTAGTTAGGTGATTTTTTTTTCTCATAGCACTTTGGCAGTCTCCTTATGTAAGATTCCCCATGCAAAATATGCACCCATGTAATATATGGATTGAGTACTTTCTATATGCCTTGTTCTGTAGTAAACATGGGATAAACAAGAAAATATGAAAAAAAGATAATTTATCCAAATTTACTACACACTTACAATTATACATGACTCTCTTGAACTTAATTGAAGCAGGATTCATCACAATGTCCACATCAATGTGCAAAAAATCCCTTTTTATTATGAAGTAATGTATACAAAACAATGCCCATAACCCCGTTCCTACTTTAGATTATTTTCTGTTATTTTTGTTTAATTATTTGAATTTTTTACTAGACAACATATCCCTTTTAAAAATTAAAAGTGATGGAGATATTTTCAAAAGCCCAATTCAAACCGAGTTAGTATTTACAAAATTTCAATTCTGTCCCCAGGGTTTATCATGTAAGACCTTAATGATATTAAACATATGTGCAATAGTAAAATCTTAGAAGATGCTTAGTAATTGTACTCTGGACACAAGAAAAATAAATCATATTGCAGTCCAGCTATCCTTCATTCAACAACATATAACTTTAAGGAAAGAACTAGAGAACTTGAGATGCACACAATTCCAGGGACAAGTAATTCTTGGAGGAGGAACAATTAACCGATGGTTTTATCTGAAAAAGAAACATGTGCCAAATGAATCTAAATGGTGCCTAACTCTATATTCCATTTGGCACTCCATGTATGAACCTCTCCCTATCCCTTGCTGTCATTTTTCCTTTCAGTGGGGTGATGGTGAGAGCAATGGCATGAAGCCCAGGAATGTGGTAAGATAATTTCTATACAGGTCAAGATAAAAATCATGAAAATGTAAAAATCCAATAATTCATGTTTTGGGCCAGGTCAAAACAACATGGGGACATCAAAACAGCCTTTAGAAGAATCATGTATCTCTTTTCGCATATTTTCTTGTTTATTTATCCCATGTTGACTACAGAACAAGGCATACAGAAAGTACTCAACCAATCTATTGCATAGGTGCATACTTTGCATGGGAAGCACTCAACATATATTGCATGGCATGCTTGAGTTGCTGTAAATTATTTTGTCTCCCTTAAGACCATAAGAGACGCAAAGGAGCAGGATTAGCAAAGTTTATAGCAAGCCATGAGCCAGGACAGATACAGTGGAATCAGTTTGCAAAATGCCTTGGAGTCCTTACTTTAGGAAGTGGTACTTCATTTTGAAAGAAATTTGGAACCAGAGGGATTTGAACGCAGGGGACCTCATTGATCAAATCCTGCATGCATAAAGACTACTTTATTAGCAATGCAGAGACTAAATTTGAGAGTGGAAAGGATGGCTATTATAACTCCATTTGGAAAGCCATTGCAATAACTAAAACAACTATAAACATGGAACATTCAGATTTAATTTTTAGAATATGTGCAATAGAAAAGAATAAGTGATATTCTTTGTAATATGACATCTGTAGCTGCATGTTGCTTAAACATAAATATGATTAGGTGCTAGAGGTAATGGGGTCAAATTAGTCTATTATCTAGTTATTTTACAGGGTCTGCACTCTACACAGAAACTTGCTAATGTGAATATTTAGTAGGTTTGAACCCATGCAGTGTTATGAAAGAGTATCAGAACTATCAATGTGTGATATGAGTTGCCATGTATGTATGGGTGCACAAGTGTGTGTGTGTGTGTGTGTGTGTGTGTGTGTGTGTGTATGAGTTTCTGGGTGAGAAAATTCCACCTGAGGCAGAAGGAGAAAATGATGTTGAGGGTCAACTTTACATTCTTACTTTCCATTTTAATGTTGATTGAAGATTCTTGATACAAATATGTCTAAATATCATCTGTACACAATCAATTTTAACTAAATTTTATAGAAAACTCATTTTTTCTAGTAGCCTTAAATCTGTTTATACCTTGCTCTTCAAAATCAAAGCATTTAATCTCTTAGAGATAATAAATTAACTTCTGTTTACATTAAAATTTATTGGGCCTACTAAATACAGATGCTAGTCATTACCTATTTTTATGAAAGTGGTAAGCCATTTCAGAATGACTCATATAAAATGAATTGAGTGGGCACAAAAATCTGAATTATTATAATTAACAATCATAGGAAAGAAATAAGAACTAACTTAAGGCTTTTCTGAATATCTGTTGGTGGCAGTAGACACGTATAGGGGTGTTCTAGTCCAAGGAAAGTATTGATTCATTTAAATTTGTCCATCCACATGAGTGAAACAGCTACGCTCATTTTCAGATCAGTGAATGCAACACTCCCAAGTCTAATCGGGAAGTTTTGCAGACAGCCGTTCCTGTTTGTTTATTGATTGTGGTTCAACGGTAGTTCTCATTCTTCCAAATTAGAACAGCAGACTTATGTTGTGTCAACAATCACCTTGCTTTTAAAAACGTCTCTGTGCATGCACCAGAGACACACTAATAAAGAATCTAACACAAGCCAAATCTTCCATCTGCTAGGGGATAATGCCCGTCTGCTGTCAGAAGCAAGACTGGAGTAAGGTGCAGGCAATGCCAAGACTTGCAGTGCCCGTCTTTTTGAAAAAAGGCCCTAGTGGGATAACAGATCGTGTTCGTCTAAAAAGGAAGACAAATGAGTAACTTGTGTTTAATAACGGCCATCCGCTGACACTTACTGTTAAAGGAGAACAAGAGATATATCTTGGCAGTTTTCTACATCTCATTTTGTATTGAGTCCAAGTCATTGACATGAGAATGTAACATAATCTACCTTGCGGAAAAAGTGGAGAATGATCTGCTTCTCTCTCTACATATAATTTCCAACTGAGACTTCCGCTTTTCTTACCATTACTCAAATTGCCCAGTCAGAGGCAAAAACACCTGGTCATATGAATGCATTTCCCCAGCTGAATGAAAATGGGTCTGCTGGGTGAAGAGAATTAGAATTTCTTTTTTTTTTTTTTTAAACTTTTAGTTTAAGTTCAGGGGCACATGTGCAGGATGCGCAGATTTGTTACATAGGTAAGCGTGTCTCATAGGGGTTTGTGGTACAGATTATTTCCTCACCTGGGTATTAAGCCTAGTATCTATTAGTTTTTTTTCCTGATCCTCTCTCTCCTCCCACCCTCCACCCTCCAACAGGCCTCAGTGTGGGTTGTTCCCCTCTATGTGTCCATGTGTTCTCATCATTTAGCTCCCACTTATTTCATGGCAGTTTTGTAAAGAGTTTTTGACAGTTAACTGATTGCACAGTACAACAGAATGAAATTACATTAAATCTATGTATTTGCATAGATTTAACACCATGAGTGGAATTAAATGGACAGAAAACTTTTTGATTTTTTTGAATCATAAATTTAACACCATGAGTGGGATTAAATGGACCGAAAACTTTTTGATTCTTTTGACTCATAAATTTCAAGATCGTCTTGCCTGGCAGTTCTTCCTGCTCATCTATAATTTCCTGGTTGGGTACCTGCCTACAACTGCCAGTGCTTGGTTTCACAGACTCACAGCTAACTTAGCAACTGATCATAGTTTAAAATTGTAAAATTCCATCAATTTTTACTGCCACTGTCTGATGTGAAAACTAGAAAAGAAACATAGTCAGATGTAGATATCTGACGGTCCACAACATAAAGATTATACGAAGTCGGCCGCAGTGCAGCTAAAAAATATTTAACTGAGAAATGTGACTTGCAGTCCAAGAGACTTGTGCCAAGAGAGGGTTGGTGACCTGAAGCAAACCCAGGTCTCTGCTTCTTCTAGGAAGTTCATGTTCTCACCATTAACTGGGAAGTAATTTACAAAGAAAAAGAATGGGGAGGGGAGGTGGAGGCTTCCACTTAAAAATTTTCCCCTTTGTTTTCTCCTGCCCATTCCCCTTAAGCAAACTTTAAGGAAATGACTAATTTCAGATTTTTGTCTTCCTGAAAATTAGTTCTGTGGCCGGGTAGCTCACTCCTGTAATCCCAGCAGTTTGGGAGGCAGAGGTGGGAGGATCACCTGAGGTCAGGAGTTCAAGACCAGCCTGACCAATGTGGTGAAACCTCGTCTCTACTAAAAATACAAAATTAGTCAGGTGTGGTGGTGGGCCCCTGTAGTCCCAGCTACTCGGGAGGCTGAGGCAGGAGAATCACTTGAACCCAAGAGGCAGAGGTTGCAGTGAGCAGAGATGGCGCCATTGCACTCCAGCCTGGGCGACAGAGCAAGACTCCATCTTGAAAAAAGGAAAAATAGTTTTGTGTGATTCTCTTTTAAGTACTGTAAAGGTACTTGTATTACTTGTATATTTATCATAAATGTAACCAGTCTTAGCCTTTAGTTAGATTTCTGACACAGGTCAAAAAGCTATGATTCTTCTAGAATGGTGGTGAAATAACTATCAACATTTTTATTACATAACATATGGGAGCTCAGAGAATGGTGCAGGCACTATCTGGTCCTGACTGCTTAGACCAGTCAGATCTTTAAGGGCACCGAGGTTCTTTATCAAGATCAGACAGACTGAAGCTACAGCTGTTCTGCAACAAGGTAGGTCAGAGAACCCGCATCAACACTCACCTGTATCAGATTACTGCTCAAGCAAAATAAGACCCTGAGCTGGATTTCATGAAAACAATAATGGAAAAAAACTAGCTTGCATCTGTCTCCAGTCATGCCTGACCTGTGTACAAAGGGGAAAGAATTAACCTTCCCATTATTAGTGTCTTCAATTTCCTGAAAGGGAAAAAGCTCTTGAAATGGAAAACTAAAGGTTTTATCATGTTGGGAATAATTGTAAAATCAATCCCATTAACGTATTCTAAGAATCTCTGGCACTGGGCAGTAGGTAGACCCAACCTCTTCTCAGTGCTCCTTATTTTCTGTTTGGCTTCCTTTTCTCATCCATTCATATGGATATCTTTTCCTTTTAAAATTTCCAGTTGTTTTATCACAACATAGAGCAACAGAAATGGTCAAGAACAACAACAACAAGAAAATATTAGCAAAAAAAAAAGTCTATTTTTAATCTACATCTCTATTAATAATCTCCAAAGTACTTCGTATAATAAGCTGAAGATTCTGGTGAAGATTCACAGAGAATTTCTAGTACTTAGGGTCAATGGCCTAAATCATAAAGTCATTTTCTTTCAGTAATGAAAGTTAAATAATTTTATAAGAAGAGGATTTCTCATGAAAGAAGGCAGGTGGTGAATCTTCTGTTCATTTCAGGTGCCTAAAATGCAATGATATTTGCCTACTGACAGAGAAGTGAGATGTTAATGTAATTGTTAGAGACTTTATATTGATTTCAGATTAATATCTTCTAAACTAATTGACAAGTTGCTTGCTATTTAGAAGGCAAACAGTAAAAGAGAAGGCAAAAAGGAATAGAGATTTTTGATTACTTAGTGGATTATCTACAGTGACTTACTTATTCCACTGAATATTCAACATTAAAAAAATCTCCTTAACTTACCTTTTAAACAAGTTAATCAGATTAACTATGCCACTGTGACAAATTTTAAATTTAAAATCAGGGTACACAGTTAGATGAAGTACCACTTCTGAGTGAAAGCAGTTGGCTGGGAGATAACATTTTGATGCTAAAATTAGGCAAGGATCTAGAACTAGAAATACCAGTTGACCCAGCAATCCCATTACTGGGTATATACCCAAAGGATTATAAATCATTCTACTGTAAAGACACATGCACATGTATGTTTATTGTGGCACTGTTCACAATAGCAAAGACTTGGAACCAACCCAAAAGCCCATCAATGATAGACTTGATAAAGAAAATGTGGCACATATATACCATGGAATACTATGCAGCCATAAAAAAGGATGAGTTCATGTCCATTGCAGGGACATGGATGATGCTGGAAACCATCATTCTAAGCAAACTATTGCAAGGACAAAAAACCAAACACTACATGTTCTCACTCATAAGTGGGAGTTGAACAATGAGAACACATGGTCACAGGGAGGGGAATATCACACACCGGGGCCTGTCAGGGGGTGGGGGGCTAGGGGAGGGATAGCATTAGGAGAAATACCTAATGTAGATAATGGGTTGATGGGTGCAGCAAACCACCATGGCACGTGTATACCTATGTAACAAACCTCCACGTTCTGCACATGTACCCCAGAACTTAAAGTATAAGTAAAAATAAAAATAAAAATAAATTTAAAAAATTGGGGCATGCCCTGGATTTCTTTGAAAACAGTAAGCCCACAGTGTAAATGTTACATCCTAAGGATTCTATACCTATGAATGCCACAGATTATAAACATATTTTACATGTTAATATTCAAAAGGGTAACATGATGCTGTTGAGCTGAGGTTGACAAACCATAGCCCATGGGCCAAATCTGACCTGCTGTCGGTTTTTGTATTGCAGTCACTTGCTTAGATATATGTGTAGTGCTTTTGCACTACAATGGTGGAGTTGAATAGTTGTGACAGAGACTGTATGGCCTGCGAAACCTAAAAGACTCACTTTCTAGCACTTTACAGGAAAAGTTTGCTGACTCCTGTGTAGAGTGCTTGAAATTAATGTTTATCTACAACTTTTTTTTTCTCTTGGGCATAAAGGATGACAGTAAATCTCCATGTCTGTGTGCATATGAGTGAGGCAGGCAGGAGGATTGGCAATCACATGCCACTTTGAAGTGAGTTGGCATCAAACATAAAATTAGTCTTTTGTCACAGATTTTAGTTCTTCCTGCAGTCAATTATCTGTATCGTTGTACTATTGCACACAGGAGATTCATAATTCAGGATAGAGTTAGTTGCTCCATTAGGTCAGCTGTGCATTAGTATAAAGAAATACCCAAGGCTGAGTAATTTACAAACAAAAGAGGTATAATTGGCTCACAGCACTGCAGGCTGTACAAGCATGGTACCCGCATCTGCTTGACTTGTTGGTGGGGTGGGCGGTGGGGGCCTCAGGGAGCTTTTACTCATGGCAGAAGCTGAAGCATAAGCAGGCATATAACATGGAAAAAGCAGGAGCAAGAGAGTAGGGGTGGGAGGTGCCACGCACTTTTAAACCACCAAATCTCATGTGAATTCACTCATCACCAAGGGGTAGTGCTAAGCCATTCATGAGTGATCCACCCCCATGATCCAAGCACCTCCCACCAGGCCCCACCTTCAACACTGGGGATTACAGTTCAACATGAGATTTGGCTGGGACCCAGATCCGAATCATATCAGTTGCTTACAGAGCAACTCGGCCCTCTTTTAAAAAGATAAATGGCTCAAATTGCATTCTTATACTAAAACAGGCCTAGATGTATTTGTGCCAGGAGTATGTTGTTGTTTTGTGTGTGACAAAAAAGCTTTAGATCATGCCAAGTAATCACACTTTGATTCAAAACAGAGGCCACATGTTTCTGAAATCAGGACCTCTTTCTACTGCTTTTCAGACATAGCATGGCTCTCCAAGGCCAGAAAAATTGAGTAATTGTTGTTACTATTTTAGACTTTTAGATCTACCCAGGGGGACTTGTCTTTCTCCACTGTTTTATCGTGGTGAATATTACTGAAACTGCCAAGCCTTATTATACACATACAGTTAAGCTATTACTGAATCCACCTGCTCCACTCCAAGTCTGGGAATCGCTGTTCAAACAACAGAGTATGAAGCCGTCATTAAAACTAAACCAACAGTAAACCCAGACATAGATCAAAGATCATTTCAGATGCCAGTTGGGCTAATCAATGCTGCAGTAATTGAGCATTGTTTTTGTTTTTGTTTTCATAACTTATAAACACTTTCAAGTACATTATCACATGTAATCCTCATTGCAACTCTGTGGGGGAAGATAGGGCAGAGATCATCATCTATGGGGTCATTTTATAAAAGACTGATTTTAGAGTGAAATTATAAAGACTCAAAATCTTACAGAGAAAATTAACAACTCATAAATAGAATCCAAGAGACTTTCTGCTTAGTTTGCAGGATTATACGGTTAAGTAATAGCTCAAAAATCACATAGCTAAGAAGTGGCTCAGATGGGATTAGAACCCGGGCAATATGGCTGTAGAGTATATACACTTAATTTCAATACTGCCTCAACATAACAAATGCTTATTGAGCAGTTACCAGTTATTCGTATATGAAACACGCAGACTTCATTTAGCGAGTTTCTGCTGTATGCCAGGCACTGCAGAGAGGGTCCTGAAAATAGAACAAGGAGCAAGGCATTAGCCAGATATGTATTTATTTACTTATTTCTGACCTACCATGATTCTGATGGTTCTTTGAAGGAAAAGACCAGGGTGCTACTGAACATATAGCAGGAGGTCCTGCCTTGCTTCAGAGGAAGGAAATTTTCAGGTGTAGCTTCAAAGATGAATGAGCTCTATGGAAGGCTGGGGAGGGGAGACACAGATGCATGAAGAACATCTTAGGTAAAGGGATTGGTAAGTGCAGACATTTGACATAAACAATCATGGAAAACAATCAAACATTCTCCTTGACTTTCAAACTCTAGTAAACACCCACTCCATGATTCTTGACTTACTTTCCTCCTCTGTCTTCTCCCCTTCTAGGCCCTTATTTTTCTCTCTTCCTGCTTATATTAGTTTTGCAAGTTCCCTTTCCTCTGCTCACTCATTAAAGGTTGCTGGTTTTCAGCGCTCTGCCCTTGGATCTATTTAGTCCTCACTTTAACACTTAGATTGTATCATCCATTCATGGATTTAATTACTATCTACATACTAAAAAAAAAACAACCACACTCTACATTCAGTTAATAAGTCTATTTTAAAATCAAGCCTGTGGTTTTGGCTTAACTTCTAGTGGACTTGCCTCTTTAAAAGTTTTGTAGGTATCTTAATCTCTACTTGCCCAAAAAGAAATCATTATTGTCCTCTCCCAAAAGGCTCCTGCTCATTGCTCTGTATAAATTAACTAAACCAGAAATCTGGTTCCATGCAACTTCTTTTATTTTAAAACAAAATTATCCCCCTTAAATGCAGTTCTGTTACTTCTGCTTACCAAGCTTTTCTCAAATGTTATTTCTTTCTACTCTCATTGCCATTACCTTGTCATACTACCTGTGGCAGCTGTGTAACGAAGCATATACTCCCTTGCTAATCCATCCCACACGCTAATCAGAAGAATCTACCAAAAATGCAAATCTGATTATTCCATTCTCTTCTTACACTTACATGGCCCTTGGGATAAGATGGGAGCACAGACTTCCGTTCGTATACCCACCTAGCACCACTTCAGCCCCATTTATTATCACTTCTCACCCTTCTCATCTACCTTCCATCTATTCTCAACTTTCATTCGGCACATACTTTTTTTTTTTTGGCCTTCAGGTCTATTATTCTGTTACTTCCTCCCATTCTGCTTTGCTTAACTCTCTCCCACTTACCCTCCATGTCCTGAATTTGACTTCAGAATACCTTTCATTATTCTGTAATTTTAATGGGTCAGATTCTCCTATTATGGTTCTATAACCTTGTATTTCCCTCAACATTGTATTGGTCATATGTTATGATATTGCTGATCTAATTATTTGTGAATACAGAATACATGTATCTCTAGCTTATCATTACAGCTATAGTAACATTGTGCCTGGCATATGGGCATACTTGTTGCACAAACAAATGGTTTGTCCTTGAAAGTCACATACATGTAACAGCACAGAATAACATGGGCTTTTGGATGAGAGAAAAGTTTGAATCTTGGGTCTGTCATTTATTTACTGTATTTGTTTTGACAAATTACTTATCTGGACCTGTTTTGTATGTACAAAATGAGTACAATAGCAATCAACTCATGAGGTTGTTGTAATTGCCAAACAGGCCTGTAAAGAACTGGGCACATTTAAGTGCTCAGAAAAGGGAGCTTTTAGAATTATTAGCTGATTCATTGAAGGTTTCATTAAGTGAAACTTACATCAAATGCCTATTTGTTCAGAAAATGTTGGTGTGATCTGGCAAGACATAATCCTTTCCTTGATACTTAATTTCTTGAAGAACTGTGTTGTTTCTGTGTTTATGTTCCTCTCTAGTCTGTTTGTTTGTTCAGAGATGGGTCTCATCATATTGCCCAAGCTGGTCTTGAACCCCAAGGCTCAAATGATCCGCCTGCCTTGGCCTCCCAAAGTGCTGGGATTATAGGCATGAGCCACCATGCCAGCCAGAAGAACTGTCTTAATTTTGAAATTCGATTTTCTTTTACATTCTGTTCAAACTTCCAAAGAAGATTCACTCTCAAGGAGTCACATCAGACACAACTTGTTATTCTCACATAAAACTTACTTTGTTCACTATCAAAAGTTCTATTTGGAGTCAGATATGGTGGCTCATGCCTGTAACCCTGGCACTTTGGGAAGCTGAGGTATGAGCATGGCTTAAGCCCAGGAGTTTGAGACCAGCCTGGACAACACAGGGAGACTTAATCTGTAAGTATATATGCATAATTAGCCCAGCATGGAGGTGTGTCTGAAGTCCCAGCTACTTGGGAGACTGAGGTGAAAGGATTATTTAAACCCAGGAGTTTGAGACTGCAGTGAGCTATGATTGTGTCACTTCACTACACTCTGGGTGACAGAGCAAGATCTTATCTCAAAAAAAAAAAAAAAAGTTGTATTTGTTGGTTAGCCAGTGTCTTAGTTTCTCGTTGCTGCAGTAATAAGTTGCCATAAACTTGAGGGTGTAAAACAAATGAAATTTATTGCTATATTTTTCAGGAGATCAGAAGTATGAAATAGGTTTCATTGGACTAAACGAGAACTATTTTCTTGCCTTCTCCAGCTTTAAGAGGCTTCCCACGCTACTTGGCCTATGCTACTTGTCCGTCTTCAAAGTCTGCAATGGCCAATCAAGACTTGCCCTGCCTCACTCTGATGCTGCCTCTTTTACTTCCTTCTTACACATTTAACGGTACTTGTGATCCCTTTAGACTTGTCTGGATGACCCATTTCATTAGCCACCTTAATTCCATCTCCAACCTTCATTTTCCTTTGTCAAGTGAGGAGCCATATTAGCAGGTTACAGGGATTAGAATGTAGACGTCTTTGGCAGGGCATTATTCTGTCTAATACAGCCATTCTGTTGCAGGCATCATATTAAACTAAGTACTTGACTGAAATAAGCACAGTTAATGCTCCCAGATGTCCTAAGAGGTAAATCTTATTGCTCCACTTTGTAGATAAGAAAAATGAAACTGCAAGATGTGCTTTCTTGCTGATTGTGACTGGCCATCAGCAGAAGAGGGTTCTGAGCCTCTTTTTGCTGCCTGCAGTCGGGTTCTGTGCTCTTTGCAAGGAGGTCCTGAAGCCTCTTGTGTGGGGCCCTCCTGTCTCTGTCATCTCACATCCTTATCAAGCATGGTCTCCAGGGGTTTTCCCAGTTCATTGTAAGAAGAAAGAATATGTATTAACATTCAGCGTATTATCTGAAATACATTTTATTTATTTTTCTCTGCTGCAATAACATAGGGAAATCTAAATATCCAAGCCAACTCTAATTTTCAAATAAAAAAGTGAGCTTCTTGGCACAGAAACACAAAAATCAAAATCCACAATTTATAAAAATTGAAGCCGCTTTCAAAATTAATTTTAAATTGACAAATAAAGGTGGTATATATTTAAGGTGTTCAATGTGATCTGTTTGAAGCAGATTTAAAGACTGTAATGAAGCAATGCCTTTGAATACACAATGGCCATCCTGAAAAGGTTTCTATTTCTTTTGCTTCTTAATGGCAGAAAAGGATTGAAAGATTTCTTGTATGTGAGTGAAACTGCTCTGTTCTTGCATACTGGATTCTGTTGTAAATGTCATTAGTATGTATTTCAATGTGTTTGACTCATGGAGGTGTTTAAAGGCTGTGCTTCATGAATCACATGTTACCGTGTTAATAAGAGATATGGCAATAAAATTCTAGATCTGAGGTGGAAAAAAATTCAAAAAAAATTGAATCAGTTTTACTGAGTGACATCTTACAGGCAATCCAAATTCCGTTTAATGAACTCCTGCGTGTTTTTAAGTGTAAAGAAATGCTAAATCATATTCCTACACCTCCAAGGTAATTCTGCAGTTTAAGTGAAGTTTGCAAAGTTCAGCATGACCTTGCAAGGTAACCAGGCAGAATTAAAACTTCCCTTCTCCCACCCCAATCCATTAATATTTCTGTTTTAATTCCTTTATCAAATGTTTCCTTTCCCATGGTGCAGATATAGTGCTGAAAGCTTTGAAGATAGACTTTGTTTTAGTCCCTATTTCCTGTTACCCTTGAGATTTGGGGCTCGAGTGAGGTAAGGAGAAAAAAGGGAATCAGATTTACAATCATTTTAACAGCTCTAAAGACAGGTTTAATCTTCACCCTGATCAAGATAATGAAGTAGAATGATATTAAAAGTCTTTCAATTCTTTGTTTTCTTGAGCAAAAGAAAAAGAAATAGTGTCTCATTGCATTGGAAAATATACAAGCCCTCTTGGGATAACAAACATAATTCATTCTCACTCAGGCAACCAGTGAAATCACTTCCTGGTTGCTGAGCTTATAGGTTATTGAAACCACGGGGGTTTTGTTAAATATAACCATCTAATAAATCTGCCCCTTCTTGTAATTAGGACAATGGTGATAAATTTTCTATGAACTTTTTCCTCCCTTTTAGGGCAACTTTAAGAAATCTCCAATAATGCATATGTCATGTAGAGTTGAATGGAATTGAAACGCCCTGCCTTATCTATTGCTGTGGATTGGCAAGAGAAGACAGTAAGTGCTTGAAGCATAGTGATGGGGTAAACAGCGCATTTCTTTCTTTGAGTGAGTTTAAAGTTTCCTAAAACATTGGGCAGTCTGAACTTAACACATCTCCTTGATATCATCTATCTTAAAGGAAAAAGCCATTTCCCATATGTTTTCAGGCCAAATAGAGGTGATACCCTCATTTTAAAATTCAGAAATGTTCTAAAAATAGTCTTTAAACAAAAGTAAATACAAATGTCCTATAAGAGCATCAGGGAACTTGATTATTTAAGGGAGGCAAGTGGAATCAACTTCAAGTTGATTTCTCATACTGTACACAATTGCTATATTCCCTCATGTAAGTACGTGTGGAAGCTATGGCTTCATTGTTAGGCACTGGATCTGAAGTCAAAGTTCTCAGATTGAACTCTTCAAAATGGCTCCTACACACCCAGGACTTGGGTAAAGGCTAACCCCACTGATCTTCAGTTTCTCCATCTATAAAGGGAAAATAATATTATCAACCTCACATTCTTTGTGTGGCTCATATCCATATATTCATTTAATATTAATTGAGCTACTAATAAAATAATAGTAGCAGAAACTAAGATTCATTGAGCTATGTACTTTTCCTATGTACTGGGCACACCCCTGGCATAGCATAAATTACAAGTGTGCCTAAATATTGATCTTCTCTGGCCTCAGAGAAGCCAGAATACCCAGGCAACTTGCCTCTGGCCACAAATAGCAGCATCTTTTTAATCTACTGTTTTGTATTAAGTATCATTTCCTCTGTGTTGGTTGAAAGGCCTAATTAATACACACTGTATCAATTATTATGATGCATATTAGAGTTAAAAAGACTGAAGTATAGAGAAGTTAACTAGCTGGCCAAAGTCACCCACCAGGTAGGAAGTGAAACTGTCACCTGAGCCTGAGTTTATTTACCAAGGATATGCTCTTATTTACTGAATGCTACTCCATTGCCATTAATACTGTTGTTTATCAAATAATTCTAGTTCATTCCTATTTAAGGCACATGGAAGGATTTCATTTCTTTGCCATCATCAGGTTAGATGTGGCCAATGACTTGCTTTGGTCAATTAAATAAGAGAAATGGCATGAGTCAGTTCTGGATAGAGGCTTCAGGACTCCCCTTTCTCAGGTCGGCTGTGATTAAAGAAGCCATGAAAAGAAGATGTCTCTGTCAACCTGTTACCCTAACAGACCACAGTGAGTACAATCACCTTGTGTAGCACACATAATATGAACAAGAAATACACTGTTGTTTTGTTGAGACCCTGAGATTTGGGGAATAATTGTAACCACAGCATAATCTAGCTTGTCCTGAGACAATTATGCTGCTGCCAAATATGTAGTAAGTTGTGTCAATGATGTGTGTCAACTCTCCAAGGTTGGGGGAAGCTCTTATCAGTAATGTTGGGGGATTTTTGTATAGCAAATACTCCCACTGCTATGGCCTGAATGTTTGTGTTCCTCCAAAATTCATATGTTGAAACCTAATCACCAACATGATGGTATTAGGAGATAGAGACTGCTATGGTCTAAATGTGCCCTCCAAATTTCGTGGGTTAGAAATTTAACTCCTAATGCAACAGTGTTGGGAGGCGGGAACTCACGGGAATGAGAGGTGTTTAGATCATGGGGGTTCTACCCTCATCAATGGATTAAGGTTGCCATGAAAAGGGCTTGCAGGAATGGGTCCATCTCTTTCTCCTTTCTGCCATGTGAGAACACAGCATTCCTCCTCTCCTGAGGATGTGGCAACCAGGTGCCATCTTCAAACCACAGACTAAACTCGCTGGCACCCTGATCTTAAACTTTTCAGCCTCCAGAACACTGAAAAACAAATTTTTGTTCTTCGTAAATTGGCCAGTCTGTGGTATTTTTGTCATAGTGGTAAAAAATGGACTAAGACAGGACCTTTGTGAGGTGATTAGGTCTTGAAGGGTTGCCCTCATGAATAAGATTCATGCCTTTATAAAAGAGACCCCAAAGAGATACTGACACTTTCCTCCATGTGAGGTTACAGTGAGAAGACAGTCATCTATGAGGAAAGGCAGATACCAAATGCCGAATCTGCTGGTGCCTTATCTTTGACTTCCCAGCCTCCAGAACTGTAAGAAATAAGTTTCCACTGTTTATAAGCTAATCAGTTTATGGTAGTTGGTTATAGCAACCCAAATACCTTAGGCACCCAGTAAGGTTAACTTCAAGCTGCCGACATGATGGTACTGAATGTAGAGTTGGGATGAAATGGACAAAATTGGTTCTGGCAAGCCTGTGGGAGGTCAGCTGAGGACAGCAGTGGCTCAGGGTATATTGTAGTGAATGGATAGATGTGACTCCTGACTTGATTGAATTTACAGGCTAGAGAGGCAAAATTAAATGAGATAATAAAGATGCATATGTATTTTATTTTATCAAGCATGAAGTAAGGAGCTCTTCTATTCTTAAGAGCAAGTCTTTCTTAACCTGGAGTCCACACAAAAGGAAGGTGTTGGGATTGTTGTCACATGGTCCCCCAAAAACTACATACTTATTAGAATCTAAATCAATGTCAAGCTGTAAAATTATGATTGACTCCTTTTGAAATGAGTCCCAATTCTAAATTTAGCTAATCCTATTAGAAATATTCAGCACATTGATGCATACTGGAATATTTACACATAAACTCATGACACTAAATTCATCTGGATTAAACTAACCTTCCCCTGACACTGTTCTCCAAATAATGGCAATATTTTGAAATTTTAATAATTTTAGAATAGATTGGGACTATCATGAGTAAACATTCAGAAACATATGCTCACTATACAACCCTCTGTGGCAGAGACTGGCTAGATGCTTATTGATTTTATTCTATTTTGTTTTCCTGGACACATAAGAAGCCTATACCCAGCCTCCTATGTGGTAAGTTTGAGGCTAGGGAAGAAGTGATGTCCATGACGGTAAGGCCATACATGATTTTCCTTGCTCTCTCTGCCAGTTGGCTGGCTGAATGTGGAAGATCCAGTAAAGGACTCCAACTAACGGTACCATTAGAGGGAAAAGGCCAGGATTCCCAGATCATTGGTGTAAGCCCAGCTGCTGAAGGCCAGTTGGACTTTCCACTGGCTTATTTTATATTATTGTAGTTATAGCAGCTAGTATTGATAACCCTGATTAACACCTCTTCTTAGATAGGGATATATTATATTTGCTTGGAACCAAACCACTAGCATATTATTTTATATTTTTACATGGATAAAGAAACTGGAGCCTGAGAGCAGTGGCTCATGCCTGTAATCCCAACATGTTCAGAGGCCAAGTCAGGAGGATCACTTGAGCTCGGGAGTTTGAGACTAGCCTGGGCAACAAAGCAAGATTCCGTCTCTTCAAAAAAGTAAAAACAAGCTGGGCATTGTGGCATGCATCTGTAGTCCCAGCTACTTGGGAGGCTGAGTGAGGAGGATGGCTTACGCCCAGGAATTCAAGGCTGCAGTAAGCTATGATTGTACCACTGCACTGTAGTCTAGATAACAGAGTGAGGCCCTGTCTCTTAAAAAATATAAATTAAGTTGAAAAAAATTTTTAAACAAGTGTTTACTAAAACTCTGTGGTAAAATGATTTTTAAAAATCAAATGAGTAATTAACAGCTTGTGGCAAACACAGCCTTACAACAACCACACGGCCCTTGAAGGAAGGACTGGCTGTCCAGCTACAGGGAGTACAGTCAACCAGCTGTTAGCTCCTTCATGCCTCAGTTGCAGAGAGCTGCCTCGCCCTTGGTCAGGCAATGCCCTGGTGCCACTGATCCAATGACCCATCATGGCTGGATTGACCAGTGATACTCCTGAGCTAAGCTCTCCAAAGGGTGGGCTAAGGCTTTGTCTGGCTGACATCCAAGCTGACTTTTCCCTCTATCCAGTCCTGTCTCCTCCTCCTTTTCACAGGGGCTGAGCCATAAAATAAACATCTTTTATGCCAAATTTCATCTCTTCTTGGACAATGCAATCTCTTACACAGACTATTGAGGGGCTAGACAACTGATAAGAATACATACATTTAAAATTCAAATTTAAATATAACTATTGCTCCACCAGAAACATGCTGACAGTCATGTGCTCATCCTTCTTGCTCTGGAATGAAGTCTAGAAGTTCTTAATTTACTTTAAGCTTTCCCAATGCTTTTTCTTCTTCTTCGTCTTTTGCACTTCACTTACGAAGGTATCGAGACATATATTTTTCTTAATTTCTAGCAAATAACATTTTTTTCTTCTTCTATACCAGTGTAGAAAGGGAAATTAATTAATTGATTAATTCAGTGCATCTCATGGCTGTTAGAAATCATCGGAATCTATAGCAATGAATGGTATATCAGAATCTCATTATTTCTTTTTTAAATAAAAACAAATTTGGCCCATAGATGTTGATGAGGATTGTTTTTATGTTAGTTTTACACTCTACCCCCATAATGATGAGCATATTTAATAATATAAGGCAAAAGCGATCTAACGTATCTTTCAACATTTGTCTTTACAAATGTTACAAACCTCTCTCCTTATAATGTTATAGGATGGTTACTCTTACAATTACAGCCACGGAAGATTAGCTGGGTTGTTTATTAAAATAATTGTATTAGCATGTTTTCATACTGCTATAAAGAATGGGTAATTTATAAAGGAAAGAGATTTAATTGACTCACAGTTCCGCATGGCTGGGCAAGCCTCAGGCAGCTTATAATCATGGCAGCAGGCAAAGGGGAAGCAAGGCACCCACTTCACAAAGCGACAGGAAGAAGTACTGAGCGAAGGGGGAAGAGCCCCTTATAAAACCATCATATCTCCTGAGAACTCACTCACTATCGAGAGAACAGCATGGAGGAAACCACCCCCATGATTCAATTACCTCCACCTGGTCTTTCCCTTGACACGTGGGGATTATGGGAATTACAATTCAAGATGAGATTTGGGTGGAAACACAGAGCCTAACCATATCAATAATGAATCCCATTCATGCCAATTTCTACTACTACAGATTTCTGAAGAGTATCGTTAGAGCCATTTTTACACAGAGCCATGAAAATTATTGTTAACTGTGTTATGACATGGGGTCATTATGCAATCTCCCTTTACAAGAAGTATCTTTAAATTGTTTCCCATAGAGACTGGCATTTACCACTAATGACTCAGTTTTTCATATTATGAAGAATAAGTAATGCTGATTTGTGTATATTATACGTCAGTTGCTATTATGAATAACTTATGTGATTTATCTTAACGAGTCCTCAAAACAGCCCTATAAGAACATCCATATCATTGTTATCTCATTTCGCTGATAAGGAAAATGCGGCACAGAAATACCTATGATGTGTCCAAAGTCACAGAGTTAGCACAGGTAAACCAGAATTCATACTCAAGCCCCCTCTTATTCACCAGGCTGTACAATGAATATTTAAGGTACTAGGATTTCCAAAAGTCTTTGAGTAAAGAGCAAACACCCATAAAAAAGATAACCCAAAAGCTATTATTAGTTGTACTTCATAAATGCTTGTTATGTAAATGCCTAAGTAATTGTTGGATAATTTAGAATTCATTCATCAACTTATCAAGCATTGCTTTGGGATCCTGGGTCACAATAATTGGGATGAGGAAAGATAAAAAGGAAGGAGGGATGGATCTAAAACAAGAAGAGCTCTCTGGAAAGGGGAGAGTTGGCTGGGGAGCCACACTAAAAGGGCTCCTTGAGACAATCAGAGAGAGGCATAGAGGACAGTGAATGTCATGTGGCTTTTGGGTGGGATTTGGTGTGGAGAAAGAGAAGGCAGTATGGCGCCAAGAAATTATTTTCCCTCTGGCTAGTCTTTTCCAACATTATTTTAATTTCTCTTTTAACACTGAAGCACAGTGACAGTATGATATTTCACTTTGAATTTCCAACTAGACCCAAATCTGTTTGCAACTCTAAAGCCATAGAAGAATGTTTATTTTACAAAATTAAATGTGAAAGGTGTTTACTTTGCCTACAAGATGGTGCGACTTGGGCGCCGACATGACTAGTTAAATAACTGGAACTTATCTGTTTAAAAGATTTAGTTTCTAATCAAAATGTACAATGCAAGTTCTATGGATTTTTTGTGGGTTCCCTTATTCAGTATATACTCTTTTGAAAAACATTACTGTAATTCTTTGAGTTCTAGCACCAGAGGAATTACACTGTTTACTAAGTGTTTTGATTTTTCAGCATACTGAATCCTTGGAAAAAAAATTTGAAAGTACGATTTTTTTCCCTTATGCCTATCAAAGAGAATCCAATATAAAGACTCTTCTAGAGTGGGTTTTTATTTCTTAGATCATCACTTTTTGAACTTTTCAGTTCCAGTTTCACTTTCCCTGAAAACATTTTTACGATAGAGCAAGTTCGTAACAACTAGCTTTGTAAGGTGGAAATTTTTTGCAAGAGCTGATTACAATGTTTACGTAAATTGCTTCAAAGTTTGGCAGCTCTCTTTCTAGAGACAGGGACTCTTCCTGTTATTATTTCTCCAAAATGTGCTTGACATTCTGATTTTGGATTAAATAAACAAAATTCCTACGCTGAATTCTGACATGTCATAAGCTTGACAGTGCTAAATTACCTTTCAAAAGCAGCGAATGTTTCAGCCTGTTTTCTTTAAAAAAAGAAAAAAGTACCAATTTCTTAACTGCTGAAAAAGAGCAGAGCTCACATCAAGTGTGACTCATGATAACAAATGTGATGCCTCTCTCCCTCTTCCCTCTGCCTCTTCAAAGATTGATCAAGTGATAGTGATTTTCTGAGTCAAAAGTGTCATACAATTCTTAAGTGGAAGAGAAGGGAGGGTTTGGCTTAATTCTTTATGATAATTCAGCCAATCACTCCAAGAATGGGAGAGAATAGTATTCACAAGTGTAAAGTATAATGATATTACAATGTATGTACCAATCATCTCCCACCAATTTATTCCTGTTTAAGCAGTTAGCAGAATCAGTAAAATTCGTAACTCAAGAAAAAAAAAATGGGTTGGATTAAATACTATAGTAGTCTAGCTGCTCTGAGCTCAAGTCTCCAGGACAGAAATACACCTATGTGGCAAATAGTGAAACTAATTTCCCTCACTGCCCTCTCTACTATTCTGTTTAGAAATCTTGACTGCTGTTCTAATGGACAGGTGCTTTCCTGCTCCTAATAGTGGGAAGTGATGTGATGGCTTAGGAATGAAATTTAAGTACACCTCTCCGAACTCTGGGATGGGTGGATGATAATCTTCATAAGTAACTGAAGCCACCTAAGAGGCCTGTCCCTACTGTAAACAGAAGTCATTTTTGCCCTTGTTGTAAAGAACCCACTTTGTTTAATGTTAAGAGGTTGGTGTGTTTAATCTGACCTTTGATTTCAAAGATTGGGCATGGAACATAAATATGCTCTATCTAATTTAATATCAACATGACCACATTTTAATTCTGCTGTATAATTAACACAATTCCAATATTTAACATTCAACCAATGCCTCCTGAGTACCTGCTGTATGCCAGTTACTGGGCTGGACCCTACTGGCAAATACATAGGTAACTTAAACATAATGGCAACCTGAAGAGTCTGGGTGGATGTCCCTTCCAGAACATACTAGATGACTCATGGATCACAAGCAGAGAAGGGACTTGGTCTTTGGTATAGAGCAGTAGTTCTTAACAGTGTGGGGGGCACTCTGTCCAACAGAGGGTTATTTGGTAGCATCTAGAGGCATTTTGGATTGATTGTCACAATTGGAGGGAAAAAATCTGTGCTACTGGTATCTAAGTGGGTAAAGACCAATGGATTCCCTGTATCTGAGTAAAAATGTAATTTTTTGGAAACAGTCCATCCATCAAAACGATGCTTAATGACCCTAGAGGGATGTGAATCAGTATTACATCCATCAAGCTTCACTCTTCTGCAATAACTGATTTGTACAAAAGCTAGTGTTGTTCATCAGTAACTCCGTAAATATTCTACCATGCACAGGAAATCCGCCCCCCTACCCACCATAATAAAGAATGATCTGACGCCGAATGTTAGTAATGGTGAGGCTGAGAAAACACATACACACACACACACCCTCTATAAATAATGAGGGTGGGGTAGAAAAGAATTTTTAGTATTTCTCCACAGATCTTTGAGGGCAGAAGAGATTACATTTGCATGGGGACAGCATCAAGTATAATTGAGAAGTCTTTGTGCTGAAGAACGTTTTCTAAAGGTCTTGCCCTCTGTCTTTAGGGACTACACTGTTACAAATGAGACATACCCACAATCCAGTCCTGAAGAGTAGCAGTATTTTGGGCATGTGCTTCCAAGGGTTAGTAGATGGTGTGGATGCTGTTATTGTTTTATTAAGGGCTAGTGCTAACCACTGTTCTACACACTTCTAATATTAACTTCACAAATCCATTAGTGAAGTGGGTACTATTATTATGCCTGTTTTTATAGATGAGAAAATTGAAGTGTAGAGTGCTTAATTAGTGGCCCTATGGTAACCCAGCTGTAAGGGGTAGAGCCTTGATTTTAACCCCAGGGGTTTAGCTTCAGTCTTTATTGCTAATTGCAAATAGCCAAACTGCCGCTTCCTATGTCACCTGTTGAAATTTTACTCCGTCTCAGCTGTAGTTCAGGTATGTGACCTTAGACAAGTTATTCTCTGTGCCTTATTTCTATCATGTCCAAGATATATATACTATTCTATTTCAGTTGTGGTTGGATTTAAATAAGTTAGTGTGTGTAAGCATTTAAAACGGTGCCTAGAACAGAGAAATGTCTTAGTAAATTTTATCATAATGATGATATTGATTCTTCCCTATGGCATGTGCATCTTAAGACAGCACGTCTTCTTAAGACAATAGTAGGAAAAGTACAAACAGCTTTTAGAGCCAAATAGAGTTTATCCATACCCTTTCATTATCTGTAATTGGCTATGTGACTTCGACCAATGTAAGAAGCTCTCTAGGCCTTATTTTTGTTTGTTTTTGTTTTTAACTTGCTAATTGGGAAATGACCTTTTGGACAAAACAAATACAATTTTTCTTTCTGTGAAGAGTCATAGTACAGTATCTGATATAAAGAAGAATAAATCAAAAGAAATGAAGCATTAAGCACTTTGAGCCATTAGGAAAACATACATTTATATTAGCTTTGCTACTGTTACCTGATTTATGTTATTTAAGTGTATTTTGTCCTTTTGTGAAATTATCTCATCTTGGATCGTCTTATGCTGCTGTAATGGACTACCATAGACTGAGTGATTTATAAAGAACATAAATTTATTCCTCACAGTTCTGGAGGCTGGGAAGTTCAAACTCAAGACACCAACATCTGGTGAGGGCCTCCTTGCTATGCCCTCCTCACATGGCAGAAGGCAGAAGGACAAGTGGGGATAAACCCAATGTCCTCACATGGCAGAAAAGTGCTTGAGAGAAAACCCACTCCTGCAAGCCCTTTTAATAGTAGCATTAGTTCATTAATGAAGGTGGAGCCTTGATGAAGATTTAACACCTTCCATCAAGCCTCACCTCCCAATACTGTTGCACTGGGTATGTATTCAGTTTCCAACACATGAGTTTTGGGGAACACACTCAGACCATAGCATCTCTGTTAGGAGGATATTACCCTCTGTCCTTAGATAGCCAGTGGGTGATCACTAAGAAGTTTTGAATGATACTGGTAAATGCAGGGTGTGTGTGTGTGTGTGTGTGTGTGTGTGTGTGTGTGTGTCCTTGCAAACATGAACACACATGTGCATATAGAAAACCAAAGAACAGCAAAGACTTGGACCTTCCTTGTCTGCTTGAGCCTATTGGAACATTCCCTTTCAGCAGCCCAGAAGATGGATTGATGCAAGGCTGGCCAGCGGAAAACTGGTTCTGGTGAGTGGTTTGAGCATAATGGCTATCAGAGGATCCAGTTGGTTTAGTTGAAAACTGGGAGTATATAAAAACATTATCTTCAGCTTTTATTGACTAAATTATTGCCCATAACTAGTACTTGTCCTATTTTCAATTACTAATATTTTTCTACAACTTGTTCCTTTATACACTATGGCTTCTTGCTCTTTAAAGACATTTAAATAGAACTCTCTCTCTCTGAAGATGTGTCCCCAGTCAAGCTCCTTTTTAGGAAAGCAAACATTGATTATCATTGATTAGGATGGAAACGTATGACTTGGAGTCAGCATGATACAGAATTGAAAGACACTTAGGGAGTTATTGATGAACAACACTAGCTGTTGTACAAATCAGTTATTGCAGAAGAGTGAAGATTGAAGGCTGTACTATAGATTCATATCCCTCTAGGGACATTAAGCATCATTTTGATGCATTGACTGTTTCCAAGAAATTACATTTTTACTCAGATACAGGGAATCTGTTCTAAGAAGGTTGGCTTATAGGATCAGTCCTTGTTATCTTTTGATTATTATTGATTCATGCTGATTTTGTTTGAAGCCTGAGATTCCTTCATCCGATTTTAACAAATTTCTTCTGCTTTTTCTAGAAGAGGAAAATTTATTTATTTATTTATTCTATTCCCATCCATATGGGTTTGCAGGGGTGTCCAAGGGAGAGAATACAGTCATTAGTTCTTAGTTTCTGTTTTTGGTTGAGCCACTATAGCCCCTTCCTCATCCCTCTTTTCCATTTATCACTAGAAATGGAAACTAAACACCATGGCTTTAGGCTGCTAAAAGCCTAAAACAAAACAAAACAGAAAAACAACAATAAAAAAATAAAGCAGTTTGGACAAACTTGGGTGAAAATCTATGAATTAGCTCTGTGGTATATTTGGTGCACGTTGAGTAAATAAAGCACTTTGGACAAACTTGGGTGAAAATCTATGAATTGGCTCTGTGGTATATTTGGTGCATGTTGAGTAAAGTAGACACCATATCGTGCAGCTTCTAACTAGTTAAAGGTGATATCAATGGATGGAATAGTACAATACAAAAGGGGGATTTGAATTTAGAAGTCTTGGTTTCCTTTGACCATGTTTCCTTTCCTTTGTTTTACAATCCTTGAACTGATTCTACTTCTGATCCTGGTAAGGAATCACAGAAGACATTACACTCAAGGCAGGTGCTCAGAGCTTCACATTTTCTTTACAGGATGGGTTCTTGCGTCTGCTAAAACTATAATTGTCACTGATTTTCTAACTTCCTCTAAAAGTCTGAAGATGAATGGTCTCAATCCCAATTGCCAGCAGAAGTCCAAGTCCCCTGATATCCATTACCATCTTGTATGTGTATGCCTCTATCTCCCTTGGTTCTATCACTCTTCCAACCCTCCCACTCTGACCTTTGAAATCTTATACCCTGCCACGAGTAAATACTCCAATAGGTTAATCCTTTTATCTAAAAATTCTTCTCATCTTGCTTTAGCACAAATGCTTTGTAAACTTATGCATCTCCAGAATCACCTGAATGCTTGTTAGAGCACAGGTGAGGGTCTCCACTCTCAGTCTCTCTGATTTAGTAGGTCTGTGGTAAGGACCTAGAACTGGCATTTTCCTCAAGTTCCCAGGTGATGCTGATGCTGCTGGTTTTGGGACCACACTTTGAGAACCATTCCTCTATTAGAAACTGGTACAAAAACAGGCACATAGACTGATGGGACAGAATGGAGAGCCCAGAATAAGGCCACACATGTACAACGATCTGTTCTTCAACAAAGCTTACAACTACAAGCATTGGGAAAAGAATACCCTATTCAATAAATGGTGCTGGGAGAACTGGCTAGCCATATGCAGACGACTGAAACTGTACCCCTTCCTCAGACCATATACAAAAATCAAATCAAGGTGGATTATAGGCTTAAATGTATACACCTAAAACTAAAAAAAAAAAAAAAACCCTGGAGAACAACCTTGGCAATGTCATCCTGGACGTAGGAACAGCCAAAAATACCAAGTGGAATCACAATGAAAGCAAAAATTGACAATTGTGATCTAACTAAAGAGTTTCTGTAAAACAAAAGAAACAATCAAAAGAGTAAACAGACAACCTAGAGAATGGGAGAAAATGTTCCCAAGCTATGCATCTGACAAAGGTCTAATATCCAGTATCTATAAGGATTTAAACAAATTTACAAGGGAAAAACAAACAATTCCATTAAAACTTGGACAAAGGACATGAACAGACACTTTTCAAAAGATGGTATATCATGCAGCCAACAAGTATATATATTAAAAAAAACAGTTCAAACCACTGATCATTAGAGAAATGCAAATCAAAACCACAATGAGATACCATCTCATACCAGTCAGAAGGGCTATTATTAAAAAGTCAAAAAATAACAGATGCTGGTGAGGTTGCAGAGAAAAGCGAATGCTTATACACTGTTGGTGGGAGTGTAAATTAGTTTAACCATTCTGGAAGACAGTGTGGCTATTTCTCAAAGAGCTAAAAGCAGAAATATCATTTGACTCAGCAATCCCATTACTGGGTATATACCCAGAGGAATATAAATAATTCTCCCATAAAGACACATGCACGTGAATGTTCACTGAAGTTCTATTCGCAATAGCAAAGACATGGAATCAACCTAAATGCCCATCAATGACAGACTGGATAAAGAAAATGTGGTACATATACACCATGGAATACTATGCAGCTATAGCAAAAACGAGATCATGTCTTTTGCGGGAACATGGATGGAGCTGGAGGCTATTGTCCTTAGCGAACTTATGCAGGAACAGAAAACCAAATACCACATGTTCTCACTTATAAGTGGGAGTTAAATTATGAGAACATAAGAACACAAAGAGGAAACAACAGACACTGGGGTCTACCTGAAGGTGGAGGGTGGGAGGTGGGAAAGGAGCGAAAAATACAACTGCTTGGTAGGGGGTTTAATACGTGAGTGATGAAATAATCTGTACAGCAAACCCCCATGAGAGGAGATTACCTATGTCACAAACCTTCACATGTACCCCCAAACATAAAATAAAGCCTTTTTTAAAAAAAAAATAGACTTAGGGCTGGGCGTGGTGGCTCATGCCTGTAATCCCAGCACTTTTGGTAGATCACGAGGTCAAGAGATCAAGACCATCCTGGCCAACATGGTGAAACCCTGTCTCTACCAAAAATACAAAAATTAGCTGGGTGTGATGGTGCATGCCTCTAGTCCCAGCTACGCAGGAGGTTGAGGCAGGAGAATCGCTTGAACCCGGGAGGTGGAGGTTGCAGTGGCCTGAGATCTCACAACTGCACTCCAGCCTGGCAAGAGATCAAGATTCTGTCTCAAAAAAAAAATAAATAGACTTAGCTCCCCCAAGGATACTGTCTTCCCTACATGCCTCTCAAATGGTGGCTATTGCTCCATTCACTAACCAAGTACAACTATAACGTAAAATGATTTTGGTGTTTGCTTGGCTTCTGACAGCTGTATCTCTACACCTGTTCCCTTCTTCCTCAAAATATCCTCAAAAGCCATCAGATTATTCCACCTACAATGCTTTTTATGGTGATTATTTAATAAGCTTTCTACTATTCTCTTTTTCTCGTTGAAAAATTTTAGCATCTGGCCAACTGTCTTTCTTTTTTCTATTATGCTTGCCAACATTCTTGGTGCCTTCACCATCTATATGGATGACCCAATGATACCAGAATGGGGCTTTGAGGGCTGGGTAGAAAATGGTGGGGTCCCTGGTAAGGGCTCCACCTTCGGTCCTCTGCCCACAGACGTAAGTGAGAACAGGCACTCCTGTTTTCATGCTGAAATGTTGCACTTTCCAAGACCACTCTGGTCTACCATGCCCCCCCATCCTGTGCCCATAAAAACCTGAGACCCTAGTGGGCACAGACACAAGTGGTGGGACATTGAAAGGAGCAGAACAACACACTGACAGACACCAGCAGACACCAGCAGGCCATCAACAGTGGGATGATGCAGAATTCAGTTGGGGTTGGTTGGAGGAGAATCTGGCCACTGAGCAGCCCGACTCCAGGGGAAGACGACCTTCCCACTCCATCCCCCTTCTGGCTCCCCATCCGCCTCACTGAGAGCTACCTCCACCACTCAGTAAAACCTTGTACCCATCCTCCAAGCCTATGTGTGATCTGATTTTTCCTATACACTAGGGAAAGATCCCCAGGATACAGAAAGCCATCTGTCCTTGCTATAAGGCAGAGGGTCTAACGGAGCTGACTCACACAAGCTGCTTGAAGATGGCAAAACTGAAAGAGTACACTGTTAACACACACCCACTGGGACCTCAGGAGCTGTAAGCACTCAACCCTAGATGCTGCTGTGGGGTTGGAGCCCAAAAACACTCCCCACGACTGCCTGTCTGCATGCTCCCCCTAAGGGCTTCAGCAGCAGGGCACCTAAGAAGCGAATCACACCCCTGTTGCATGCTCTGCGAGGAGTATGAGGCAACTCCATCCATTTTACCAAGACCCTATCACTACTTCTCTATCACTCCACCCACCTTACTCTCCTCCTCACACAGCTTAGAAACCAGACTTTAAAACTTCCTTGACCCTCTTTTCAAGAAAACCTTCCTAGATTTTCCTAGCAAATGCTAACCTGGCAAAGCCCAACTCTACCTCTTCTGGGCCTGAACTCAAAAGGCCTTACACACTGGAAACAAAACAAAACAACGCACAATGCTGCCAGTTTTCATGTTACATATATGATTTTTTTAAAAAACTGCAATGTGCTTACAGCACAATTATAATGCAATTCTCCAGCATAGCAACCAATAACTGGGTAGGAGTTCCAGAGGAGCTAGAAGTCTCAGATAAGTGGTTGCAAGGGTGAATACTGGAGTCTAACACATCTGCGTCTAAACTTGTCTCCGACTTTCACCAATTGAGTGGCCCGGGGCAAGATACCTAAACTTCTTACAGCTTTGTTGCCTAATCAAGAAAATGGGGAAATGATAGTTTATGCTTAATAAGCTTTTTTGTGAACATGATATGGTATCAAGTATTCAGCATATTTGCCCAGCTACTAGTAAGCACTTGGTAAATACTGGCTAGTATTATTATCATATGCTATTGAACTTTAAAACCATACCTTAATTTTTACCAAAGTAGAAATGATTTTTGAATATAAGGTAAAAGTTAAGCTCCTCCTATATGTTTTGTTTAACAAGAGCAATTCCTATAAATGATGTGTGAGTGTGTTGTCACAACATGAATCAAATTGGCTAAATTATTCAGTTATTTGGATGTTCTGTAAACCTAAACTTTACAACTTGATATTTCAGGAGAATCAGCCTATCAGAACATATATGAATGCATCTCTTGGAATAATTAATTGTTTTTCAAGAGCAGCCATTCCTTTTTCCCCACCTTCTAGCAAAGAGATCAAATGAGAACAATTTGGAGGAAGCAGTAACACACTAATAAGTCTTCACTTTATGAGTTAATAATTTCTGGTTTCCTTAACAACCATTAGGAGCACATTCATGAACTGCAGTCAAATCATTAAGAAGAGAGCTAACAACAGGTGTGAGGCTTGTTTCTAGAATTCAGTTCATCATAGATGCAGTCAGCTTATTTTTAAGTCAATTAATTAATGACATAGGAAAAGGGGACGAGAAGAGGCTTAGTGGCAGCTAAGAGTAGACAGAGGACTGGTAGGAATATTTTTTAAAAATATATCAGAAAAATAATTTTCTAAAACCACTAAAGTGCAAACCACAGTTAAAATGACAAAGGGTCGCCTTTGGGAAATTCCCATTAGTAAAGCAAAGAGAAATGTGAAGAGGTAATGATTACTGATAATGGCCATGACCTTACTAATGTCTGTTTTCCCATCTGTCTCCAATGCCAGGAAACCATATAAACATCTAATTATATTAAGTTTAATGTCTTGATAAAAAGCCCTTGCTTATTCTTTGGTACTCTTGGAGAGCAAACATTTTGAGCAAAGGTTATTATAAAATTGAGATCAATATGGCTATTTTATTAAGCAGTTTTTCTCCCCAGCAACAGATCCTTTTTTTAAAAAAAATTACCAAGTGACAATATTAATGAGGTTTAAAGTATTACCATATTCTAATTTATAGGTATGATGTGAAAAATTCCTGCAAGGTACAAATACTTCCTTTAGTCCCAAAACAAAAAGGAAAATAACATGGCCAGGAAGAAAATGATGAGGTAATGGCAGAGAAGCTAATGAAGGAACTTACATTCAGAACAAACCTTTTATTTTTTTATTTTTTTTTTTTTTGAGACAGAGTCTTGCTCTGTCGCCAGGCTGGAGTGCAGTGGCGCGATCTTGGCTGCGACCTCCACCTCCTGGGTCCTGCCTCAGTCTCCCAAGTAGCTGACACTACAGGCACGTGCCACCAGGCCCAGCTAATTTTTGTATTTACTTATTTTTTTTCAGTAGAGATGGGGTTTCACCATGTTGGCCAGGATGGTCTTGATCTCTTGACCTTGTGATCTGCCTGCCTTGGCTTCCCAAACTGCTGGGATTACAGGCGTGAGCCACTGTACCCTGCCAGAACAAACCATTTTTAAAGCTACTGCAGAGTAAGAAATGGGTGCCAGGAATTGGAAAGGTGTTTGAGAAAATGATTTTCATATTCGTAAAATGATTTTTATACATATAGCAATCCTCTTATTCAGTTATAAACATGTTTTATATTATTTTTTCAAGTGCCCTGAATATATTAAATCAATGTAATTCTAGCTTAGCTGGGCTATTGGTGTCTTTTGAAGCATGTTCTTATATCATAGGATTTTTGCAAGGGATAACACGGTAATGTACGTGAGTGATTGAAACAATACCTGGTATAAATGAAGTGTTCAATAAATGTTATTAAAAATAACTATCGTCATCACTGTGAGCAATATGTATGTCCTGGCTTATCAGATAAACCAATTACCAGCTTTTAAAATATATGTAGATGGATTTTCCCTTAGTGAAGACACTATTAAATTTTTTTTAAAGAGACTTAAGTGGGGACTTGTCTAACACATAATAAACTATTTCATAGAGCTGGGATGGAAGAAAAGATAAAGAAGCAGAAAAAAGTAACAGATTGTGCTGCTGAGAGCTAATAGTGACAACACTGGTTTTTCGTGTTTCAAAGAATGCTCGATGGGATCTGAAATCTTTAGAAATAGAGCACTCATTGTTTTATTGGTAAAGTTTCTTATTTTAATTAGTATAAAATAGATTCAGCAAATTGCACAAATCACAGATGTGCAGTTTAATGAAATTTCACAAGATAAGATTGTGTAACCAAGACCCATATCAAAATATCAAGCATACCAGCACCCCAGAAATTTCCTGACTCCATCCCTACACTTAACTTTCTCCCAGAATGAATCACCATTTTAACTGGTAGCTCATGTTTTAGTTTTGTTTTCTTTTTTAATCTCATGCATGTAGAATCTTTTGCATCAGGCATCTTTTCTCAACATTATGTTTCTGTAATTTACTTATTTTATCTTTATCATAGACTTTGTATTTCCATTGTTGTATAATATTCCATTATATGAAAATAATTACATTATATATTATTGACATTGAGTTATTTCTTATTTTTCAATCTTCTATTTCCATATTGAGATATTATTTTATATTTAGTATATTGTCAGTAATTATATATTCTTCATGTTTTCTTTGTGAGTAATCAAATATTTCTTATATTTTTCCTATTAGCCAGTCACACATTATTTTGCTATTCAATTAGCATCTTTCAGTGTAGAACATGCATTCATAACTATGAATCAGTGCTCTTACCACTTGGTGAACAATGTGAGATCTTTACAAAACTGACTTCATTGGCTTTTATGCCACTTTCAAGATATGTTTTTATTATACATATATTTTAATCCCCATATGGCAATATTGTTATTTAAAATCAATATTTTAGATTCATCTATACAATACCATTCTTTTGCTCTTTAGTTCCTAATTTTAGAGCTTCCAGCTTGGATCATACTTCTTGTTTAAAAAGTACTCCTCATATTTAATTTTATGTTCATCTAATGGTGACAAATTGTCTTAATATTTGTTTTTCTGAAAATATCTTTATTCCACCTGCATTTTAAGAAAATGTTGCTCAATACAGGATAACGGGTCAACATTTTTGTGGGGACAGGCACATCATGTTCTCATTAAGTGAGAACATTGTGGCTGCCATATTTTCTGTCAAAAAGTCATATATTTTCTGTCAAAACATGGCTGCTATATTTTCTGTCAAAAAGTCAAATAGCAAACATTATTTTTCCTTTGAGAAAAGTTTGTCCTTTGTTCTAGGTGCTTTTAAAAGTTTGTCTTTCTTTTCAGCAGTTTTCTTTTGCTATGACTGTATATGATTTCGTTGTTATTCTGTTGTTTGCTAAAGTTTGAATCTTTGGGTTGATATATTGCTCTGACCTATTCTTTTTAATTCGTAATTCTAAGAATCAAACTACATGTATTTTAGGCTGTTCTAGAATGTTCTATGTATATTTTCTGTATTTTCTCTGAGTTTTAGTCTGATATTTTACCTATCTTCTAGCAGACTCATCCTTTCTTCTCTTCTGTCTAACCTACTACAGTTAGTTGAGTGCTTAATTTTAATTACAGTATATGTTTTCAGCTTTGGAATTTTCATTTCTAGCTTTCTGAATATGTTAATATCGTTACCTTAAATACTCTATCTGAAGACTCCAACGCCTAGATCACCTCAGAATCTGCCTCTATTTTCTGTGTTTCTTGTCCTATTTTACAGGATGCCTCAAGATTTTAATTGGATGTCAGCTATTGTGTGTGAACAATTATGGAGAATTTTGGATAATACTTTATTTCTGCAGAAAGTATTAACTTTTTCATGGCAGACTAAGTTTTAGCATCTGTAATAGTGTGTCTGTTTCTAGGAGTGCCTATCCTCCTGATTCGTAGACCTCAAGGGGTCTCAACTAAAAGCCTGACCTAACCCCCAATTATTATCTCACAGCATCATGCATCCGCTAGCAGCTGCACTGCTATTTGGCCTGGAACTGCTCCTGTATGCCTGCTGTCCCACTGCCCACCTTTGGCATTAGCAAATGTCTATGCGTAATATTAATGCAGAATGTGAGACTCATATCTTAGGGTCCCTTTCTCCGGGATCTCGGCACCTCAAGCCCTTGCTGCCTTGGTAGCCCTGACCTCCAGTCTTTGTATTTGTAATACTGCTGAAATACAATTACGATGCTGCTATTGTAATGCTGTTCAAGATTCTGAGTCACCCCTTTTATTTTGCCACTTAGCCCCTTGACTGCTTACGGATGAGGCTGTATAGAAAAGTGGCAGAGCCTAGCTGACTCACCCTAGTGTACCTTCTTTCAGCCTCTTGGATCTTCAAAGCAATCTTTCTGCATGGATTGCTTCCCGAAGCTTTCTAATAGCTTATGAAAAAGTTTTTTTCTAGCTTTTGTAGTTGTTCTCAGTGGAAGGATTTGATTGTTATAAATATTCTTATCTTACCAGACTTTGATCCATGAGTAAGATTAATTTTGATCTATCAGAATATACTTACGCTCTCAGGGCAGTACCTGTTACACGGACAGCTGAGATGTGTGGGTGAGTAGTAAGTAAGAAGCATAACATTGAGTCAAGTCAAAGAAAGAGCACAAGTTTATTGAAATATGTAAGAATGTTGAATCCCAAATATTTAAAAGGGAGCTACTGTATGAATTCAGTTTACTCAAAGATGGCATAGTGCTCAAGGAAAACGATGTGAGGTGAGAAAAACATGGTCTCATGGTGTTAGAGACCATGAGAAATTTCAGTGTGGTAGCATCACTTGATTTACAGATATTTACAGATATTAGATCTGTAGATCTTATTCATCCTACATAACTGAAATTTTGTTTGCTTCGACCAACATCTCTCCATTTTCCCCACTCCCCCAGCAACCACCATTTCGTAATCTACTTTTATGAGTTCAACTTTTCTAGATTCCACATATACATGAGATCATGCAGTATTTCTCTGTGTCCAGCTTGTGTCACTTAGCTTAATGTCTTTCAGGTTCATCCATGTTAGTAGCCGGAGTATTCTTATGTTTCTTAGAGTAGATTAATTTCAGCGTGCTTATTGATCTGAGCTTTTTGGTCCCTTCTTCAATAAGTTGCTAAGGCATTTCTGGAGTCTATATCATTTAACATCAGCCATTTATTTTTTCCCCTAATTCTTCAATGACCATTCTATCCATTAAGACCAAGTACACCAGCTCCAGAAGCTCTTGCCAATTAGTCGAATCCTGAATCTTGAGAATACATCCTATCAGCCAACCTCTCCCTAATCAGTTTTATAGTCTGTCTGCCTTCCTCTGCAGAGCACACTCAAGGTTCATTTATATAAATGTTCTTCCCGGGCTGGCCGTGGTGGCTCACGCCTGTAATCCCAGCACTTTGGGAGGCTGAGGCTGGTGGATCGCCTGAGGCCAGGAGTTCAAGACCAGCCTGACCAATAAGGTGTAACCCTGTCTCTACTAAAAATACAAAAACTAGCCGGGCATGGTGGCATGTGCCTGTAGTCCCAGCTACTTGGGAGGCTGAGGCAGGAGAATTGCTTGAACCTGGGAGGTGGAGGTTACAGTGAGCCAAGATTGCACCACTGCATTCCAGCCTGGGTGACAGAGTGAAACTCCATCTCAAAAAAAAAAGTTCATCCCATTGCTAGTAGTGCCTATTAAAGACCCTGCAGCTCCACCTTTATACTATTCTCCTTGCAAAGCAGAACTCATGCTTCCCAGTTGGTCCATGCCAACAGTGGATCTTATTATAGGTCCATTGCCATGAAAGAGGCAGAGTGGGCAGACCTTGAGGATAATAAGTGTTGTCTTTCAAGGCATGAGCTCTCCACTTCAACTTCATGCAAGTGGATAGTTGCTGTCTTCTAGTAAGAAGCAATGAGATAACAGCCCATGCAGACCATGAGGTTCAGAGATCTGCATGGACTGATGATGCATGTACCTGTATGCAGCCACCTGGATAGCCCTTTCCCAAATTTCAGAGTCTTGTTTCTTACCTTCAGGGCTCTGGCTTTGATGCACTAGATTTCACTGGACTCTGGCTAAAGTCTTCTGAAAGTTCTTTTTCTCTTACGTGTAAGTCCTTGACCTGGTCTTCAGCTTAGACTCCTCCTTAGTTGCAGAAACCAGGGCCTCATTAAATACTGACATGAAGGCCTTTTGATTTTCACATCATGCCATAAATTGGTAATTAGTTGACCTGAACCTGACATTTTTCTCTTTTCAATACATTGATAGGATTTAGCAACATCTAACAAATTTCACAGTTCTTTTAATTAGTTACTCCTACCTCCATACCTCCTAAATGATCAAAATATTGCACAAGCCAGTGAAATAAACTCATTACATGTAAACATAAATCACATTTTCATTAGAAAACTATATTTTCTAGTAAAAAAGTATGAAAAGAGAGGCACTGATTTATGTTTTTTTTTTTTGCAAATATCTTTAATGTCTAACTTAATTGAAAATCTGTATTCTTATACCAGCTTCTGTAGTCAATCTGTTGTGAAACATTTTGGTAGAAATATATGAAGAAAATTACTCTGATATAGTATTGGAAAGGAAAGAATAATTTTAATAGCCCTTTGAGAAAGCTGTGATATTTTTTGATACCACACCAATACTGAACAAGGAGAAAATTCTTAAAGATTATTTGCAATGTAAAGTCTGAAACTCTATTTATGAATGTTTTCTCTGGTATATTAGAATCCTGTAGCCTATCCTGCACTTGGAATATGTCTTTTACTCTTGCATAATTGAATAACATCATGCGTTGATCATTTGAAAAATATTGTTTCACTGAGTTATGCAGATCTTTCAATATTAACATATTTCATTTCATAATATAAAACATTCTATTTGCTATTGTCATCAAATCAACAAGCATTCTAACTATCATGAAGCTTCAAGCTCACAGTAACTAATATAAAGTTTTCAAAACTCCAATTTTCTTATGAAAGCACAGATTTTGTCACTGGAAGCAAATAATGTCAGTTGAATTCCTTGAACTGACAAGCTCACTTTGTAAGAAAATTTCTGCCAAATACCCATCTGAATAACCATAGTTACCATAGGATTTTTTTTTTCAGTTTAAAAAAAAAAAAGTGTTCTCTGAAGAAAGGAGCTTGTTCAGCTTTCCACTCAAACAACTGCATAACAATACAACCGCCATACTTCAGTAGGTAGCATACTAGCTTATGAATGTATCCCATTCCATTCCAATAATTTAAAATGTGTATACTGAGGCCAGGTGCAGTGGCTCACACCTGTAATCCCAGCACTTTGGGAGGCCGAGGTGGGTGGATCATGAGGCCAGGAGATCGAGATCATCCTGGCTAACACGATGAAACCCCGTCTCTACTAAAAATACAAAAAATTAGCCGGGCGTGGTGGCAGGCGCCTGTAGTCCCAGCTACTCAGGAGGCTGAGGCAGGAGAATGGCGTGAACCCGGGGGGCAGAGCTTGCAGTGAGCCGAGATCATGCCACTGCACTCCAGCCTGGGTGACAGAGAGAGACTCCATCTCAAAAAAAAAAAAAAAATTACAGAACTATGAGTTTGGGGTACAGTTCATGACCATCACTCAGATTCACTGCAGATGACATCAGGGGACTCAGTAGAGAAGAAAGACATGAGCCCATTGCTGAAATGGTGGAGAGAGATGAGCATGTGTCCTGGAGCATGGCTCTTTATAATAATCAAGTAAATGGTTAAAGGATCTTTTAGTGGACACTATGTATTTAACAAGAGGAAAGATGATTGGGTTAGGAAAGTTGAGCAGTTATTTAGAAATGAGCACACGAGCTGGGGAGACCTCTCCAGAGAAGGCAGTGGAGAATCAAAGAATAGAGGGTTGTACAGGAGATGCTTTTTGGGAATGGCTGTTTCAGGTATCAATTAAAGTGGAAAGGTAGGGTTGTTTTTGTAAAAAAGATCCAAGACAATGGAGGATTTGCCCACATTAGAACAGGATGCAAACTACAGGACGGCAGAATGTTACAGAAACGAAAAATGTGTTTCAGAGTGATTGGAGTTAGCATTCTGGACGTATTTCTTACAGAGTTGACTAGCACTATTCATTTTCCACCCTCCAACAGTTGCTGAATGATTTTGTTTTAAGAAAAAATAGGGAATAGGAACAGCTCCGGTCTACAGCTCCCAGCGTGAGCGACGCAGAAGACGGGTGATTTCTGCATTTCCATCTGAGGTACCGGGTTCATCTCACTAGGGAGTGCCAGACAGTGGGCGCAGGCCAGTGTGTGTGCGCACCGTGCGCGAGCCGAAGCAGGGCGAGGCATTGCCTCACCTGGGAAGCGCAAGGGGTCAGGGAGTTCCCTTTCCGAGTCAAAGAAAGGGGTGATGGACGCACCTGGAAAATCGGGTCACTCCCACCCGAATATTGCGCTTTTCAGACCGGCTTAAGAAACGGCGCACCACGAGACTATATCCCACACCTGGCTCAGAGGGTCCTACGCCCACGGAATCTCGCTGATTGCTAGCACAGCAGTCTGAGATCAAACTGCAAGGCGGCAACGAGGCTGGGGGAGGGGCGCCCGCCATTGCCCAGGCTTGCTTAGGTAAACAAAGCAGCCGGGAAGCTCGAACTGGGTGGAGCCCACCACAGCTCAAGGAGGCCTGCCTGCCTCTGTAGGCTCCACCTCTGGGGGCAGGGCACAGACAAACAAAAAGGCAGCAGGAACCTCTGCAGACTTAAGTGTCCCTGTCTGACAGCTTTGAAGAGAGCAGTGGTTCTCCCAGCACGCAGCTGGAGATCTGAGAACGGGCAGACTGCCTCCTCAAGTGGGTCCCTGACCCCTGACCCCCGAGCAGCCTAACTGGGAGGCACCCCCCAGCAGGGGCACACTGACACCTCACACGGCAGGGTATTCCAACAGACCTGCAGCTGAGGGTCCTGTCTGTTAGAAGGAAAACTAACAACCAGAAAGGACATCTACACCGAAAACCCATCTGTACATCACCATCATCAAAGACCAAAAGTAGATAAAACCACAAAGATGGGGAAAAAACAGAACAGAAAAACTGGAAACTCTAAAACGCAGAGCGCCTCTCCTCCTCCAAAGGAACGCAGTTCCTCACCAGCAACAGAACAAAGCTGGATGGAGAATGATTTTGACGAGCTGAGAGAAGAAGGCTTCAGACGATCAAATTACTCTGAGCTACGGGAGGACATTCAAACCAAAGGCAAAGAAGTTGAAAACTTTGAAAAAAATTTAGAAGAATGTATAACTAGAATAACCAATACAGAGAAGTGCTTAAAGGAGCTGATGGAGCTGAAAACCAAGGCTCGAGAACTACGTGAAGAATGCAGAAGCCTCAGGAGCCGATGCGATCAACTGGAAGAAAGGGTATCAGCAATGGAAGATGAAATGAATGAAATGAAGCGAGAAGGGAAGTTTAGAGAAAAAAGAATAAAAAGAAATGAGCAAAGCCTCCAAGAAATATGGGACTATGTGAAAAGACCAAATCTACGTCTGATTGGTGTACCTGAAAGTGATGTGGAGAATGGAACCAAGTTGGAAAACACTCTGCAGGATATTATCCAGGAGAACTTCCCCAATCTAGCAAAGCAGGCCAACGTTCAGATTCAGGAAATACAGAGAACGCCACAAAGATACTCCTCGAGAAGAGCAACTCCAAGACACATAATTGTCAGATTCACCAAAGTTGAAATGAAGGAAAAAATGTTAAGGGCAGCCAGAGAGAAAGGTCGGGTTACCCTCAAAGGGAAGCCTATCAGACTAACAGCAGATCTCTCGGCAGAAACCCTACAAGCCAGAAGAGAGTGGGGGCCAATATTCAACATTCTTAAAGAAAAGAATTTTCAACCCAGAATTTCATTTCCAGCCAAACTAAGCTTCATAAGTGAAGGAGAAAGAAAATACTTTACAGACAAGCAAATGCTGAGAGATTTTGTCACCACCAGGCCTACCCTAAAAGAGCTCCTGAAGGAAGCACTAAACATGGAAAGGAACAACCGGTACCAGCCGCTGCAAAATCATGCCAAAATGTAAAGACCATCGAGACTAGGAAGAAACTGCATCAACTAATGAGCAAAATCACCAGCTAACATCATAATGACAGGATCAAATTCACACATAACAATATTAACTTTAAATATAAATGGACTAAATTCTGCAATTAAAAGACACAGACTGGCAAGTTGGATAAAGAGTCAAGACCCATCAGTGTGCTGTATTCAGGAAACCCATCTCATGTGCAGAGACACACATAGGCTCAAAATAAAAGGATGGAGGAAGATCTACCAAGCAAATGGAAAACAAAAAAAGGCAGGGGTTGCAATCCTAGTCTCTGATAAAACAGACTTTAAACCAACAAAGATCAAAAGAGACAAAGAAGGCCATTACATAATGGTAAAGGGATCAATTCAACAAGAGGAGCTAACTATCCTAAATATTTATGCACCCAATACAGGAGCACCCAGATTCATAAAGCAAGTCCTGAGTGACCTACAAAGAGACTTAGACTCCCACACATTAATAATGGGAGACTTTAACACCCCACTGTCAATATTAGACAGATCAACGAGACAGAAAGTCAACAAGGATACCCAGGAATTGAACTCAGCTCTGCACCAAGCAGACCTAATAGACATCTACAGAACTCTCCACCCCAAATCAACAGAATATACATTTTTTTCAGCACCACACCACACCTATTCCAAAATTGACCACATAGTTGGAAGTAAAGCTCTCCTCAGCAAATGTAAAAGAACAGAAATTATAACAAACTATCTCTCAGACCACAGTGCAATCAAACTAGAACTCAGGATTAAGAATCTCACTCAAAGCCGCTCAACTACATGGAAACTGAACAACCTGCTCCTGAATGACTACTGGGTACATAACGAAATGAAGGCAGAAATAAAGATGTTCTTTGAAACCAACGAGAACAAAGACACCACATACCAGAATCTCTGGGACGCATTCAAAGCAGTGTGTAGAGGGAAATTTATAGCACTAAATGCCTACAAGAGAAAGCAGGAAAGATCCAAAATTGACACCCTAACATCACAATTAAAAGAACTAGAAAAGCAAGAGCAAACACATTCAAAAGCTAGCAGAAGGCAAGAAATAACTAAAATCAGAGCAGAACTGAAGGAAATAGAGACACAAAAAACCCTTCAAAAAATCAATGAATCCAGGAGCTGGTTTTTTGAAAGGATCAACAAAATTGATAGACCGCTAGCAAGACTAATAAAGAAAAAAAGAGAGAAGAATCAAATAGACACAATAAAAAATGATAAAGGGGATATCACCACCGATCCCACAGAAATACAAACTACCATCAGAGAATACTACAAACACCTCTACGCAAATAAACTAGAAAATCTAGAAGAAATGGATACATTCCTCGACACATACACTCTCCCAAGACTAAAACAGGAAGAAGTTGAATCTCTGAATAGACCAATAACAGGATCTGAAATTGTGGCAATAATCAATAGTTTACCAACCAAAAAGAGTCCAGGACCAGATGGATTCACAGCCGAATTCTACCAGAGGTACAAGGAGGAACTGGTACCATTCCTTCTGAAACTATTCCAATCAATAGAAAAAGAGGGAATCCTCCCTAACTCATTTTATGAGGCCAGCATCATCCTGATACCAAAGCTGGGCAGAGACACAACCAAAAAAGAGAATTTTAGACCAATATCCTTGATGAACATTGATGCAAAAATCCTCAATAAAATACTGGCAAACCGAATCCAGCAGCACATCAAAAAGCTTATCCACCATGATCAAGTGGGCTTCATCCCTGGGATGCAAGGCTGGTTCAATATACGCAAATCAATAAATGTAATCCAGCATATAAACAGAGCCAAAGACAAAAACCACATGATTATCTCAATAGATGCAGAAAAAGCCTTTGACAAAATTCAACAACCCTTCATGCTAAAAACTCTCAATAAATTAGGTATTGATGGGACGTATTTCAAAATAATAAGAGCTATCTATGACAAACCCACAGCCAATATCATACTGAATGGGCAAAAACTGGAAGCATTCCCTTTGAAAACTGGCACAAGACAGGGATGCCCTCTCTCACCGCTCCTATTCAACATAGTGTTGGAAGTTCTGGCCAGGGCAATCAGGCAGGAGAAGGAAATAAAGGGTATTCAATTAGGAAAAGAGGAAGTCAAATTGTCCCTGTTTGCAGACGACATGATTGTTTATCTAGAAAACCCCATTGTCTCAGCCCAAAATCTCCTTAAGCTGATAAGCAACTTCAGCAAAGTCTCAGGATACAAAATCAATGTACAAAAATCACAAGCATTCTTATACACCAACAACAGACAAACAGAGAGCCAAATCATGGGTGAACTCCCATTCACAATTGCTTCAAAGAGAATAAAATACCTAGGAATCCAACTTACAAGGGATGTGAAGGACCTCTTCAAGGAGAACTACAAACCACTGCTCAAGGAAATAAAAGAGGACACAAACAAATGGAAGAACATTCCATGCTCATGGGTAGGAAGAATCAATATCGTGAAAATGGCCATACTGCCCAAGGTAATTTACAGATTCAATGCCATCCCCATCAAGCTACCAATGACTTTCTTCACAGAATTGGAAAAAACTACTTTAAAGTTCATATGGAACCAAAAAAGAGCCCGCATTGCCAAGTCAATCCTAAGCCAAAAGAACAAAGCTGGAGGCATCACACTACCTTACTTCAAACTATACTACAAGGCTACAGTAACCAAAACAGCATGGTACTGGTACCAAAACAGAGATATAGATCAATGGAACAGAACAGAGCCCTCAGAAATAATGCCACATATCTACAACTATCTGATCTTTGACAAACCTGAGAAAAACAAGCAATGGGGAAAGGATTCCCTATTTAATAAATGGTGCTGGGAAAACTGGCTAGCCATATGTAGAAAGCTGAAACTGGATCTCTTCCTTACACCTTATACAAAAATCAATTCAAGATGGATTAAAGATTTAAACGTTAAACCTAAAACCATAAAAACCCTAGAAGAAAACCTAGGCATTACCATTCAGGACATAGGCGTGGGCAAGGACTTCATGTCCAAAACACCAAAAGCAATGGCAACAAAAGACAAAATTGACAAATGGGATCTAATTAAACTAAAGAGCTTCTGCACAGCAAAAGAAACTACCATCAGAGTGAACAGGCAACCTACAACATGGGAGAAAATTTTCGCAACCTACTCATCTGACAAAGGGCTAATATCCAGAATCTACAATGAACTCAAACAAATTTACAAGAAAAAAACAAACAACCCCATCAAAAAGTGGGCGAAGGACATGAACAGACACTTCTCAAAAGAAGACATTTATGCAGCCAAAAAACACATGAAGAAATGCTCATCATCACTGGCCATCAGAGAAATGCAAATCAAAACCACTATGAGATATCATCTCACACCAGTTAGAATGGCAATCATTAAAAAGTCAGGAAACAACAGGTGCTGGAGAGGATGCGGAGAAATAGGAACACTTTTACACTGTTGGTGGGACTGTAAACTAGTTCAACCATTGTGGAAGTCAGTGTGGCGATTCCTCAGGGATCTAGAACTAGAAATACCATTTGACCCAGCCATCCCATTACTGGGTATATACCCAAAGGACTATAAATCATGCTGCTATAAAGACACATGCACACGTATGTTTATTGCGGCACTATTCACAATAGCAAAAACTTGGAACCAACCCAAATGTCCAACAATGATAGACTGGATTAAGAAAATGTGGCACATATACACCATGGAATATTATGCAGCCATAAAAAATGATGAGTTCATATCCTTTGTAGGGACATGGATGAAATTGGAAACCATCATTCTCAGTAAACTATCGCAAGAACAAAAAACCAAACACCGCATATTCTCACTCATAGGTGGGAATTGAACAATGAGATCACATGGACACAGGAAGGGGAATATCACACTCTGGGGACTGTGGTGGGGTCGGGGGAGGGGGGAGGGGTAGCATTGGGAGATATACCTAATGCTAGATGACACATTAGTGGGTGCAGCGCACCAGCATGGCACATGTATACATATGTAACTAACCTGCACAATGTGCACATGTACCCTAAAACTTAGAGTATAATTAAAAAAAAAAAAAAAAAAAAAAAAAAAAAAAAAAAAAAAAAAAGAAAAAATAAACAAAAAGTACTTAGCCTCAAGGAAAATAACTTAGGGATTTTCTGCATCTTGAAATGCATGCTTGTTTGGAACAAACAGCCGATAAACCAATTCTCTTAATTATACACAAACTGCCTCACAATTATGTACTAACCGAATCCTGAGTGGACTTGGTAGACACTTGCTGCTTATGAAAGAAACACTACGCAGAGGCACCGCTCCTCACTTTTCTTAAAGAAAAAAAATGCATGACTTTAAAAAAAGAGTTTGAAAATTCTCAGTGATCTTGTTCCCTCATTTATTTTTCCACAAGCTGTGTCTAAATTCAGGCAAAGTTATCAACTTACCATTTAATGATATGGTCACTTAAACAAAGCATAACCTTAACAGACCTTCAATTCAAGCTTGCATTACACATAGTTTCCAAAAGCTGTTTTTTTTTATGTCCTGAATTTACTGATATTGATATTTTGCATGCTTTAGACTCCAATGCAGTATTACAAGATGACCTATGCTGTTATTGGGACACTTTTCACAGGTTATCTTTTCTAAGATCCATTTGCATCAGATAATTTCAGCCCCAAACTTATAACAGTTTCTCATTTTTTTTAACCTGGGCTTGTAATATCTACCATAACTCACCTTGGAAGACATACTTGAAATTTCCATTTCTTTTTTTCTTTCTTTTTTCTTTTCTTTTCTTTTTTTTTTTTTTTGAGACAGAGTCTCACTCTGTTGCCCAGGCTGGAGTGCAGTGGCATGATCTCAGCTCACTGCAACCTCTGCCTCCCAGGTTCAAGCGATATTCGTGCCTCAGCCTCCTGAGTAGCTGGAATTACAGGAGTGCACCACCATGTCTGGCTAATTTTTCTATTTTTAGTAGAGACTGGGTTCTATGATGAACCTTTTTTATTTAATCCTCACTAGCATCCTCAGCTTAGTTTCTTCACTGCCCTGTGAACTCTCACTGCATCTCTGTATTCACACTTTTCTTCACTCTTGATAACGTCTTGACTTTAATTCTCTCCCTCATCAAATTTTCATTTTCTCCTCTTCTCCTTGACATATTTCACCCAAAAATTTTCATAATAGTTTTATTGATTCTTCATGGTCTAACTATGTCACTCAATTGCATTCATTTTTATATCATATATTTTAAAATTTGCCTATTTTTTTGAGACGGAGTTTTCTTGTTGCCCAGGCTGGAGTGCAATGGTGCGATCTCTGCTCACCGCAAACTCTGCCTCCCAGGTTCAAGCGATTCTCCTGCCTCAGGCTCCTGAGTAGCTGGAATTACAGACATGCGCCAACATAACTTAGCTAATTTTGTATTTTTTTGTTTTTAGTAGAAACGGGGTTTCTCCATGTTGGTCAGGCTGGTCTCAAACCCCTGACCTCAGATGATCCGCCCACCTCGGCTTCCCAAATTGTTGGGATTACAGGCATGAGCCACTGCGCCTGGCCAAAACTTGCCTCCTAAACTACGCAACAACCAGGCTACCTAATGGAGTCTCTGTCTATCTCTTGTTGCATTTCTTCTCTCTGGTCACCAACCCTGTGAGAGATTGGGTTTCTATCAGTTGTAGTGTACTAAGTCTTCCATTCCCCAGACACAGCTTCCTGCATTCAGGTGAACCCGTGACCAAGACCAGGCCAGTCAGATTCTGCCTTCTAGAAATGTTGAATTGTTACTGAGATAGGCTAGTTGGTCTGTGATGGTTGCTGGCATGCACAAGAAGCAAACAAGGAAGCTGCAAGGGTAGCCATGTTTAGCCATGTGAGTTCTGAAACAGGGGAAGCTGATTTTCAGAAGAAAAGAAAATGAGGCAAAGATGAGCAGGAATTAGAGACTGGCATTGCCAAGATGTGGGTGTTTTTTTTCCGTTTTTGTGTTAGGCCTTTTTGAACTAAACTGCTTTTCCTCCCCTTGTGTTTCATGCAGCACAGAAGTGTTTGTACTTTTGAAACCAGCTTTTGTGACTTGTCAACAATAATGTCTTAGAATAAAAGAGATTGTGTCCTTTAGGGTATACATAACTTTTGTCCTAGTAGTTTTTTGTTTATTGTTGCTATTTTTCATCATGTAAACTAGATGCCCCTTAAAGATACTTACAGTCTGGAAAGGAAAAAAGTGGTCCTTTTTGTTATGAAGATATTATTCTGAATATGGAAAGTACAAAAGCGTTGGAGTCAGACAAACCGCAACTGGAATTTCCAATTCACTTCTTACTAGCTGTGAGTTCTTAGGGAGGTCACTTATTCCTTTGAGCCATCAATTCCTCTACCTTATTTATGCTGTATCCTCAATTTTTAGTACATTTTCCATCAAATAGCCTAGTAGGCAATCAAAGATAAAGACATTTGATTTGCCAGAGGCATTTTGGGCACAGATAAGCACACTTTAACTTTCTTGCATATTTTTCCAATTTGGTAAAAATATTAACAATAATCGGAGGGAGTACCACAGGCTTCTGTGAATGAGAGCTTAGCAAATGACCATGAAATGGATAAATGGTATGAAAACCCACAAATAGAATAGAAGTGAATGTAAACTGTGAATTGGCGCTTCTTTTGTCAGGACATCTTCTTGTTAGAAAAAAATTACCAATATATTTGAGTGTAGTGTCCTACTTGGGAAATGATATCTTGAATGACCATAAGTCTTGCAAGGTGATTTTTAACACATTTCTCATTTGCAGTTTTTTAAATATTTGTAAGTTAACCTTAGCAACCAAGTTCCATTTGATAAGAATCCATACATAAACACTGACTTTCTTTTATTTTCTATGAAATTCATTCTCATAGAATGGTGATATGTTTTCTCTGAAAGCATTTTCCTCTGCTTGTAGTGGCATGCTCATTAGTGTGATTATGTTATTAATGTCCCCTCCAGGCTCTTTCCCTAGACGGTAAGCTCTGTGAAAGCAGCAAGTATTCCAGTGCATATTCAGCATTTTAATGTTAGTCCTTGCAAGAGTACCTGAAACATAATAAGCATTCAAGATATAATAGTTGTTGAATGAATAAATGAATAAATTATGTTGAATTTAGGGGGTGACATTATATATTTTGGCCCCCTTGAAAATGCATGAAGTTCAGAGATATGTACATAATATATTCAGATTTGTCAAACTGCTCATGCCTACCTAGAACAAAGTCCTTGCTTCTTAAAGGTGGCTACGAATGATTAAAATTTCCGTTCTGGGAAAAATTATTAGCTTTGTTTCATACATCTGTTAAACAAACCTGTATAAAATGGTGCATGCATTTCAACTTATAAAATCTTCCTTAAAGCCATATTTTAGTATGTGCTAGGTGGTATTAACTTCTTGCAAGTTTTACCTCATATACGCCTAAATTCATGGCTAAAAGGAATATATAGACAGCATCTGTCTCACATATTTATTATCATTTTAATATCAAGAGAGGATACTGAGTGATGATATATTACATTACAGTTTCAATGAATTAAAATACTTTAAACCTGTAGTGAGAAAAGAATGACAAAAAAAAGTGTCTAGGAAGAGATGGAAACAGTAATAAATTAGCGTAAACAAAGATATAGAAAAATGTAGTTGAGGCCAAAAATATGGATGGGAGTTAAGCCATTATTTTCAATGGTCTACAGCCAAAAGGCTATATAAAACAGACTCCCAGATTGGCAGATTTATGGGAGAGTCATCAAAACTAGTGATCATAAACTTCTTAGAATAAAAAAAAAATCTAAACACCGTTTACTTTGATTAGATTCAGGATTGAGCTGAGCTAAATCTCAGAGGGGAAGAAGAATTTTGAAGTCCAGAAAACATCTCCATATTATTCACAAACTGTACCAGCCTTTCTGGGAAAGACAACTAATGAGACAAATCATTTTATCACCCACTTCCTTAAAATGCCAGTAACTGAGAGTCGAGAGGTATGAAGTATGAATTTCCGACCAGGCTCATTGTTTCAGTTCTGTCTGCATTATCACCACCTTGGACTGGACTACCTTGATCTCTTGCTGAAATGACTGTGCTAGCTTTCAACAAATTCCCTGCTTCTGCTCAGAAGCTCTGTTCTCAACACAGCAGTTGGAGGGATGCTTTTAAACCACACTCAAATCATGTACTTCCTCTTCTGAAATCTTGTGACTGTTTCCTACTTTACTCACAGTAAAACCAGAGTCCTCTCAATAGACTGAGTGCTCTATGATCTCATCCTCTATGCATTCTTTGATTCCTTCCCTTTCATCTTCTTTTTCTCCCATAGCTCCAGACATGTTGACCTCAAAGCTTTGCCTCAAACATCTGAAGCATGTTTTCAACTTACATCCTAATACTGGCTGTTTTCTCCACCTGGAACTCTCTACTCCTAGATATCTTCATTGCTACCCCTTTGACCTTCTTGAATTTGTTTTGCTCAAATGTCACCTTTTCAAAGAGACAACTGCTGTTAACTGCTGCTAAAATTCAACTTTCCTCTTGACTGTCCCCCAGGAATTCTATATTATCCCGCTTTCTCTGCTCATCTCTACTTATCACCCTCTAACATGCTAAATAATTTACTTGTTGCATAATATATGTTTTGTAATTGCCTTTCAGCCCCCATCAGAATCTAAGTTCGTCGATTACAGGGAATAAATACATTTGTTCACTGATATATTCCAAGTACTTGAAACAATGTTTGACACAGGATATGGCCCATAAATATTTGATAAATGCTTGAGTTGCCTCATTGAATCCTCATAAGAGTTCTGCAGAAATTTCTAATATTATCGTATTATTTATGGTAAAGGCACTGTGGTTAGATTTATCGACTTTTCATTGATTTTTAAAATTAATGTTGTATAAATTTCACATATATTATTCCAAATTGTGTATAGAATGCAGCTGTTATAAGAACTAGATTACAGCTTTAAAAACTTTTAAAAGCGGGGTAGCTTTTTAAAACAATTTTTTGCATAAATTTGATATCCCTGAAGCTAACAGGAAGCATTTTTATTAAAATTTTTGCTTTGAAACTCATAATACTGTGATACAAAATTCCTTTTTGAAAATGTTATAATCAATCTTCCATTTCTATTTACATCTGAGAATTCCAATTCATCACTTCCACTGAAGACTGCAGTCATTTGCTCCTAATTGGGCATCTTGTGCACTCTATCTCAATTGCATGGCAAAGCTGCTTGAAGCTCCTCATTACAGAGGCAGAAGGCTGGCAATAAACATCTTCTGCAGCCTCCATTTCTGCCAGCTTTGCTCCTCTTCTAGCTAATGGTATTCTAGGCTCCTAATTGTCTCACATCAAAAATCCCAAAGTACTTAAGTGTCCTCACTAGAAAAACAAAAGCAGGCACAATGTCAAACTTGAAGCCCCAGCACATCTTTAAAAGTGAGGAGAGCTGCCTGGCTCTGCAGCCAGGCCCAGGGAGATGAAGAGGAAACAGCTTAGCAATTTGCATCACACTCCTGGGAGGCTATTGGTGCCATCTGAGCAGAGGACCTGATTTTTCCCCTTCATTTCCTTTCCTCCCCTTCCTCCATTCTCTATTGTATGTGAAGGTTTTGTGGCTTGATGAAAGATCAGAAAAGGTCAGGGAATTCTCATAAGGTGCCGCCACATATGGGAATCTTCACATATATACATATCGTTTAAATGTATTTCCAAATCAACAAACTTTTCAGAAATGATGCATGCAGCTTCTCCTAGCAAGAACAATTCTTGTGAGATCTGAGTGTCACTACGGTGGTTTAGAATAAGTTCTAGTCCAGACAATTATTTTTATTTATTGATCATAGCAGTAAAGAGCCCAGGTTCTTACCCCGGGCTCCAATCAATCCTGTTTTTGTTTCGTTTTGTTTCAATTTAAATAAGTTAATGTGGAGCTGATAACTTACATGTATCAGTGGCTGGAACATGTAAAATACCCAGTAAACATGAGCTGTTACTAGCATTAATATTATTATCACTATCGAACACTAATTATATGCTAGGAATTATGATAAATCTTACTTAACCCTTTAATCGAACCCATTATGTAGATATTATTTCTTATCAATTTCATAGTTGAGAGAATTGAGGCTTAACTTATTAGGTAGTTTGCCCATGGTCACTCTGCATAAGGATGCTGGTCACATTGCTATAGTGTCATGTTTCTATTATACAAACCACTGGCAAGATTTGGTCCATAAATGCATTTTGTTTGGTTCACAAGTAAAAATATCTGCATTTTTAATACTTTGAATTAGATGATGCATTTTTCAGTTAGATGTCATCATGTTCACCGCCTATTACGTACCAGGTGTCTTTAGTCATTTTTGTTTACTTAGCTTGCCTCTATTTTAAGCAAATATCTATTGAGGGCCTATGTGCCAGACACTGTCGCGAACGTGGGACTTATAGTTCTGAACACAATAGAAAAAGTACTTACTCTCAGGGAGTTTGCAGCTTCTGCTGCAGAGCATTCAGCATGTCACAGTGGAGATATATGATAGCAAGTATTTCACAAGTAAAGGCAATACTAAATATGTTACCTTTGCAATATAAAATTAAAACTGGACTTATCTTTGAGAGGATAACTGAAAGTACAATGACTGCCTACGGTGTACACTTAAACTGAAGGTACAGTTGACTGCTTAAGGGCTACAATTGGGAAGCATCAGAAACAATTTTTGCCCTTAAATAGCTTATTGACTTACTTATACTACACCTCAAAAACTCATTTCTTCTGGTAGATGCAATGTCTTTGGTAATGCATGCTAAAATATGCATTTCTAAATAAAGTTAATATTGATGTAGTAAGCATCTTGTACATAGTTATTATATATGGATAAGTACACAGATAGTGAATTTAAAGAATTAATCATGGCACAATTATCATATGTCAATCAGATTAGCAAAACAAGTACATTTTGGCAGAGAATAAAATGGGAAGATTTTTGGAAGGCAGAGCAGCTGGGAACACTTGATGGAATAATCAACTTGGACCCCATCCCCAGCTGAAGAAGTGAGAACTCTAGCAGGCATGTTTCATGTTAATTGTTTCTATTCTCCCTTTTATATGAATAACACTGGTGGTGACTCAAGCTTTAGGTTTTAAGTAGGATTGTGTCCAAATTAACATCACCCATTGTATTAGTCAGGGTTTTGGAGAAAACCAGAACCAATAGGAGATAAAGATAGATATACAGGACAAAGACATAGATAAAAATGATATAGATATAGATGATACAGACTCAGACATAAGAGGAAATTTTTTATAGGAATTGGCTCATGTGGTTATGGAACTTGACAAATCGCATGATTTGCTGTACAAAAGTTGGAGATCCAAGAAAGCTGGTGGTGTAAATGCAGTCTGAGTACTACGGCCTGATAATTGGGGTCCAATGTTGTAAATCCCAGTCAGAGTCAGAAGGCCTGATCCATGTTTGAAGGCCTGAGAACCAGGAGCTCTGACATCCAAAGGCTGAATAAGATGGATGTCTCAGCTCAAACAGAGAGGGTAAATTAGCCCTTTGTATTAGTCTAATAAAGACGTACCCGAGACTGGGTACTTTATCAAAGAAAGAGGTTTAATTGACTCACAGGTCAGCAGGTCTGGGGAAGCCTCAGGAAATTACAATCATGGCAGAAGGTGAAGATATCACATCCTTCTTCTTACGGTGGCAGCAAGGAGCAGGGCAGAGTGAAGGTGGGGGGGTGGGGGTGGTAGGGAAGCCCCTTATAAAGCCATCTGATCTCGTGAGAACTCACTCACTATTATGAGAACAGGATGGGGAAACTGCCTCCATGATTCAATTATCTCCACCTGTTCCCTCCTAGGATACGTGGGGATTATGGAAACTACAATTCAAAATGAGATTTGGGTGGGGATACAGCCAAACCATATCAACCTTCCTCCACCTTTGCTTTCTATTTAGGCCCTCAAAGAATTGGATGGTGCCCACTCACATTGCTGAGGGATATCTGCTTTACTCAGTTGGCCAATTCAAATGCTAGTCTTTTCGGGAAACACCTTCACATACACACCCAGGAATAATGTTTACCGGCTATCTGGCCATCCCTTAACCATCACACAGATGATAATTGTTGAATGGATTTTGTGGGCTCTCCTTGTTGGGCCATGAATCATTGGGAAAACAACAAGGCTGGATGCTGAGGAGTGAATCAGGTAATGGACTGGATAGTTTCCTATAGCACCTCCAGATCTACTCTTCCCCATTGCTCGCTTTGTTTGTGCCTGAGGGGACGACTTTTGCAGCTTTCATCATGAAGTCCCTTTTGCCCTCTGACTTCCAGTTGGATTCAGGCCATGGGAGAATCAGCTGGTGCCCAGAGGGTGAGAGGAAAGTAAACTCAGCTCTTAATTTTCTTGGTTGTGTCACTGCCAAGCTGTGGTTTATCAGTGATTGGTTTTCTCTTGCAAAGGTCATAGCTCTTCTCAGTCCTATCCCACAGTTTTCTCTGACTTTGCATAACCATTTCCTCATCACACTCCTTTCAACCTATGCTGGTAACAGCTTTCCACTGTGGTCAGCTCCAGTGCTTCACCTCCCTGTGAGTTTAACTGTGCTGTATATATTTTTAAATGTTCCGTTTAAAAAAATTCTCCGCAATTTACTCATTTATTTTTTGCCTTGACCCTGACTGACTATTCCCTATTATGAATAGAAAATATTAGCTATTCTTGATATTGTCTATGCCTGGTAATAGCCAATGGAGCAAATTCACTTTGCCCTTTAAGTATATTATTTACCTGCATAGTTTTTTTGTTTTGTTCTGTTGTGAGACCCAGTCTCACTCACTCTGTCATCCATGATGGAGTGCAGTGATTTGACCTTGGCTCACTGCAACCTCCGCCTCCCAGGTTCAAGGGCTTCTCCTGCCTCAGCCTCCCATGTAGCTGGAATTACAGGGGTATGATTTTTGTACTTTTAGTAGAGACGAGATTTTACCATGTTGGCCAGGCTGGTCTCAAATTCCTGACCTCCATTTCTCTCCACATTTTGTAATTACTTGATGGGTTCATCCTGCCCACTGCACAGACAAAACCAATTTACCAAGACTGTGGTATTACAGTAAAGAAAGAATTTAATTAATGCAAGGCAGCTAATCGGAAGGACTGGAGTTATCATTCAAATCAGGCTCCCTGGGAACTCTGAGGCTAGGGTTTTTATGGATAATTTGGTGGGCAGAGGTCTAAGGAATGGGTAATCTTGACTGGTTGGGGATGAAGTCACAGAAAGGAGAAAATAGTCCTCGTGTGCTGAGTCCACCTCTGGGTGGGAACCACAGGACCAGTTGAGTCATGAGTTAGAGGTCCAGGTGGGGTCAGTTGCCAGAATGCAAAAGTCTAAAAAAATCTCAAAAGACCAATTTTAGGTTCTACAATAGTGATGTTATCTATAGGAGCAATTGGGGAAGTCACAAGTCTTGTGACTTCTGGCCATATGGCTCCTGAGCAAGAAAGGATTGTAGAAAGGCAAACTAGGGGATGATGGCACATTTAGCTATACCTACATCATAACAGAATTTGGGCTCCTCTCATAATACTAATCTCCTGGCTTCTCATTAGTTTTACAAATGCAGTTTCAATCCAGAAAGAAGGAGGGGATCAGTTTTAGGGAGGGACTATGATCATGCTTGCTTTAAAGTTAAACTATAAACTAAATTCCTCCCATGGTTAGCCTGGTTTAGGTCCAGGAATGAGAGAGGACAGCGAGCCTGTGAGGCTAGAAGCAAGATGGAGTCAGCCATGCCAGACCTCTCTCCCTGTCATCATCTTCGGGAAGGCGGTTTCAACCTTTGTTTATGTATTTCCTCATTTCACTCTCTCAACAGCTAATGAAAATTGCTCAATTAGTCTTTCCATTTTCCAATTGAATAAACAGAGGCAAGTTAAAATAATCTGCCCAAAGTTAACCAAATAGGAGCAAAAAGTTGAACCTAAGAAGTTTTATGTCAAGACCAATGAACGTCTAGATTACAAAATTAAATAAATTTAAAAAAAAAAAAGAAGATTTTTTTTGGCTAAATCTACTACATTATGGTTTTTAGAAGTCTTCATGCTGGGGAAGGAAATAACTCTAAAAACAAACCAGAGAAAATTTAAGAACCAGGGCCAGCAAATGGCTATCTGAAAGAACTAGAAAGAAACAGGATTCTACATTTATAAGATAAATGAAAAGAGGGTCCACCACCCTGTATACATAGGAAGATGTATTCATGCATTTGCATGAATAAGCTAAAAGGTCATCAAGGGCCAAAAACTTCTGGAACAAAGGCATCTCTGAATTGAAACATTATTGCTTACAAAGTATCCACTTTCCAAAAAGAAGGATTCAAATTATCCCCAGCTTAAAATTTTATTTGAGTGGCATCTTCAGTTTTTCTCTCTTTGAAAATATCCTCCTTAACATCGCCTAAATGTTTTCTTCTCTCTGCCTGATGGAACTAAAAGAAAATTGAGAAGGAAATATAAATGTTTCCAGATTTAATTCAAATTTAAGTCATCATTTATTTCTTCTATTTTTAGTCACAAATTATAATAGAAAATACATTTTACTCAATTCCTCATAAAAAAAATGGAAGTATTCTGATGAAGTATCAGGACTCTTGAAATAAGGTATCATAATATCAGAATGTCCAAAGAAATGAAACTTTCTATTTAATAGGAATTAAGAAGGAACAATTCTGCTTTCTTTATGTATAAATACTCTAAATTATTTACAAATTAACTTACCTTCATAATTTTGAGTATAATAAGCATAAACAAATCTGTTTTTTATTTTTGAAAAAACCAGTTAGTGCTTTTGGAAAACTTCAGTTTGTATTCTCATTGTTATAGGCAAAAGCACAGATATTAATACCTTAAAGACAGAAGTAAACCCTTAAATCACCTGCTGAGTATCACTGGAGATTTTTTTATTTGTTTTCTTATGCGTATATTAAATGACTAAGCATAATATTTTATTATTAAAATGTACATTATACATTCATTGTATCAGTTAATAAATAGAGTAAAAGTAAATCATAAATTTATTCTGTGGTTTAGTATTTATTATTTTAATTTGCATGTTACCTTGTATGGAATGATAAATACTATAGAATCTATCATTTTTCTCTTTTGTAAAGGCTTCCAGTTAAGTTAGCATATTAGAATTTTCTCTGTAGTTTCTGACACAATTCTCTGTCAGCATGGTTTAGCAATCATTAGCTGCAATTAACATAAAATAACTTGAGTCAGCTTGAGTAAAAATAGATAAATGGGTTGATCAAATAACACAGTGGTAGAGTTAGCAGTGTTGGGCCTCAGCAAAGGACATAATACTAGAAATATCTCAAGACTCTGTGTCTTCAATCTGTTCTTTCTCGGAGTCGGCTTCTCTCTCTCTCATTCTAACTCTTTCTCTGTCTTTCTCCCCCAAACCAGGTTTGCTTTTTCTCCTCTTGCTCCTTCCTTATTATAATTCCAGCTCTCTTTCCTAATGCTATCTCCTAGTTGCAATTCCAAATTCCATGCAAAGAGAAATGGACTGGCCCAGCTAGGGTAAGAGGTTGCAAATGGTCCAATCAATTACAGCCAGGTCACATAGGCCAGCATCATCAATGAAGGGTCACTTCGTAGGAAAAAGGGACATTTACAGAGAAAAGAAACTTTAGAGTAACCCAGGAAGACAAGCATCTTTATGCCCTCCCATTCGTTCATGGTTTCTGAACTCAACCAACTGTTTATTTAAATAGTGTCCTGCTTTAAATATGTTTTACTGCCTGTCATTTAAAGTTGTTTTTGAAAATACATGGGCTATAAACTTATTAAAGGCGAAGGTCAGATGGGATCATCTCAGATTTGAAGCTAGAAAACTTGAGAACAAGACCTAAAATGGAAGACAGTGAGACAGGCGAACACAATTTTACTGTTGCTGACTTAATGGTCTCTCCTTAAACTCATTATCTTCTTCACTCTCCCTGTCCCTGCTCACCCAGCCATGAATATTAAAATTATATTTCATTATAAAATTCTATATTTTATGCTAAAGAATATTCCAATAATTTCTAAAAGTAGAAGTGAAAAAAAAAGCTATCCATAGCTTTCCATCAAAACAAGCAACAAAGCTGTCATATCTTCCATCTAGTGGAACATCTAATGGCAGTCAAGTTAGTCAATCCCATTTCTAGGTATATACCCAAAGGGAAATAAATCATTGTACCAAAAAGACACCTGCACTCCTTTGTTTATTGCATCACTATTCACAATAGCAAAGACATGGAATCAACCGAGTTAGCCATCAACAGTGGACCAGATAAAGAAAATGTAGTACATATACACCATGGAATACTATGCAGTCCTGAAAAAGAGCAAAATCATGTCCTTTGCAGCAATATGAATGCAGCTGGAGGTCATTATCCTAAGCAAATTAAAGCAGAAAAAGAAAATCAAATACTGTATGTTCTCATATTATACTGTATGTTCTCACTTATAAGTGGAAGCTAAACATTGGGTACACAAAGACACAGAGATGAGAATAATAAACTCTGGGGATTTTTAAAGTGGGGAGGCAGGGAGTGGAGAAAGGGTTGAAAAACTACCTGTTTGGTGTAATGTTCACAACTTGGAGGATGGGATCATTGTTAAGTCCAAACCTCAGCATCATGCAATATACCCATATAACAAACCTGCACATATACCCCCTGAATCTAAAATAAAATAAAATAAACAAAACTAAAATAAAAAAAAAAAACAGTCGATCCAGGCATTCCTTGCTGGAGTCAGAGCTGCCGTAGCTGAGCTAATCTAGTACCAGACAAGGTCCTAATCTGGTATTGTTTTCTCTGTAGGGTTCCATTCCCTCTTTAAATGTGGCTACAGGAGTCTCTTCTATTGTCAATTCTTAGCTTCCTCTGCAGATTTTTGTTCCTCCTGTCTTTCCAAGATTATTTGATTTCATATTTCCTTTGATAGGATTGCATACAGTAGTTAAGTTTCAGCCCTGCATGTGGTGTCACCATTGAGACAATTTAGTTCTCTAAGAGGAGGCAGGAGGATATTTACATTTTGGGTGTTGTATTTCATGCTAATTTCCAGATAGTTCTAATATTTATTTATTATTTGTATTTGTTTTAATGCAATTTGTGCAGACTTTTCCAATTCTTCATTCTATTACACTAATCAGATTCTATACATGCTACCTCTGTTTTCACATCTGTAAAATTTAAACATAAACCTCAGCATCTCTCCCCCAATATTCTCCAAATAGTTCATTTATATAAAGCGTAGTAAGGTAGAACTTGACAAATATTTTCCTTGGCCGATGAAGGAAAGGACTTACATTATACTTCCTGTTTCTACTGCTTCAAAATTTTCCATCACATTAGTTTTTCTCATTCTCTTTGCCATTCAGGAGTTCTTTTTTTTCCTTCGACCTCACCCCAGGCAATAGCCAGGTTATCGGTTGTCCTCTTTCTAGCAATTATTCCTATCTCCATCTCTTTCGCCTTTCCTGTTCAGAGCAATTTAATTAGATTTATTGTAAATATACTTTCCCAGAACACAACCCTTTAGTTACCGTTACTTAGAAAAAAATGGAGAAAAATAAATTTTTAAAAAATTGTATTACCTATGGCTTTCGGGAACTCTATTTCAATGGCTGATTGATATTAATCATATTGAGTTATTATGGTTTATTTAAATCCCATATTACCTCTCATTTAAAATGGTTTCCTTTTGTTCCCTACAATGATTAATGCTAAAATAAACATATTTTGCATAAAGTCTTCTCTGTAGCTTTTGATTTTTTTGTCTTATCAGAAATGTATGTGTTGGATCAAAGCTGTGAGACTTTTTAATGAAAAAAATGCCAATAATATTTCACCTACTTATGATTTCATCAGAAAATGCATGAAAGTGTCTACTTTATCACACCTAGTCATATAGGGGTATTATGATTTTTCAAAAAAGTGTTAAACAATAAATTAATATGTCTTTAAAAAATTTGCACATCTACTTTTAACAAGTCATGTTGGATAATTGTTTACTAGTTATATTTCTGAATTGTGAATTTTATAATTTTATATTTATGTTTTGAATAAATAATAAGGGATTGTATTATGCTGTGATAAGCAGTAACCACTAAATATCAGTGCCTTAACTCGTTAACATTTAATTTTCATTTATGTAAACCCATGTGAGATCTAACTGCTCTCTTGGGCACTTCCTTCAGGTAGGAGTACAGAACTGCCTGTCTCCAACTACTTGCAGCTCTGTCACTTGGAACACATGGCTTCCAGGGTTGCTATGTCAGGGGAAGAGAGGGTCTCATGCTGACTTCTCAAGGCCTCAGCCTGGAGGGAACGCACCTGTCTTCCTCTTGCAATCCATTGGTCAGAACTAGTCATGTGGTTCACCTAAATCCAAAACCACAGGGAGAGAGGGGAACTGGGTATTCCTGAGCAACAGCAAACCCTGCCACACACATATTCTTCACTGTTTACTAATAGCCAATTTACAGTGTAACAGCTCTTTGTATAAAAACAGTTTCTGACTCTCCTTTGCTACAGACTTTTTTTGTTTGCTATTTGCCTTTTAATGTGTCTTCTATTCTGAATTTGCAAAGAGAGCTTTCTGTTACAAGTACTGAAAACACCCAGGAAGATTCAAGAAGTGTCATTATATTATTTGTGTTAAAAATACGTCAGAGAAAGGCATGTCAATCTTCAAGTAATTGTTTCTCTAAAGAACTCTATGAGTTAAGTCCTGAAGCAGGTAACTTAGAGAGCGTGAAGGAAGATAAGTGCCTACAATGAACACTATTAGATCAACTGGTTTACATAAGAAATGGGCTACTTGACTTGAAATGAGAGGTTCAGGTACTTATTTTTTCTAGTGGTTCTAGAACTTGTCTTGCTTTCATTATGGTTAACATTTTTCCCAGAAGATCATTTGGATTCTGTCTTCTCGGAAGAAGCGCACCCACACAAGTGAATTAAAATCTAAGCTAAATTCAGCTTTGTTCAAATGTGCCTCCACCTAGTATCTCTCCTCTGTTCCCCATCCTCCATTCCACCCACAGCCCTAGGAAGAAAGGAAGACAGTATGAATTTATTCATGCTTAAAACTAAATTGAGCTATAAAATCTGTTTATTTCCTTGACATCTCTACTAACTACTAAGACTATGAGGGTTGCATTTAAACATGAACATTTATTAAAACTCTTTAATAGCCATGTCTCTGTGATCCACCCCAAGTGAGGCAAAAATTTTGATGTAAACTTTATTTTTGTAGCCTACAGACAAACTTTGCTATTTCCTCATGCTTTTCCTTTATTCCTCTTTCCTAGTTTCTTGCAACAAATGTTTCATTATTTTAACAGTTGTCATCTTCCTGCAAAGTTCATTATGCAGGTCAAAATCACATGCCATTTTTTAATGAAAACAGCAATTCAGCTTAGCCCAGTGCATTTCTTCTGGGTTATTTGACTGCAGATTTTTGACCTAGAAATGTTTTAATTAATTTGAATTTTGATTGAACTCTTTGTTTCTGAAATTGCTTTTCTGTACTTCTTTATGTAATCTTTCCCTTGATTTCCATTACCTTTGCTGTTTCATTTGCTTTTCATTTTATTTTTATTTGATTTTATACTGTGTTAAAGCAATCAAGGATAAAACATCTCTACCCTTCTTCCAAATGCAGCTTATCACTAATTCAGTTTTGCTAAGAAATGATTGTTAAATAGGAAAAAAGGAATAAAATCTCAACAAGGTAATGACTCATACCAGTTAGTACAAACTTTTAACCAGCAGAGTAAGCTGATTAAAATCCGAGTTGTTATCTACTAGTAGGAGGTGTAGGTAGGAAGATGGCAGTTTCCCTAATGAAATGGAATTTATTAAGTACCTGAATATTATAGAGTCTGTTCTATTGAAACATGCTGTATACATTCATAACATTAAAAGAAAAATGCCGGCCGGGTGCGGTGGCTCATGCCAGTAGTCCCAGCTACTTGGGAGGCTGAGGCAGGAGAATGGCGTGAACCCGGGAGGTGTAGCTTGCAGTGAGCTGAGATCGTGCCACTGCACTCCAGCCTAGGCGACAGAGCCAGACTCCATCTCAAAAAAAAAAAAAAAAAAAAAAAAAAAAAAAAAAAATGCTGGGCACGGTGCCTCACGCCTGTAATCCCAGCCCTCTGGGAGGCCGAGGCGGGTGGATCACGAGGTCAGGAGATCGAGACCATCCTGGCTAACATGGTGAAACCCCGTCCCTACTAAAAATACAAAAAATTAGCCGGGCTTGGTGGCGGGCGCCTGTAGTCCCAGCTACTCGAGAGGCTGAGGCAGGAGAATCGTGTGAACCTGGGAGGCGGAGCTTGCAGTGAGCAGAGATCGCGCCACTACACTCCAGCCTGGGCGACAAAGCGAGACTCCATCTCAAAAAAAAAAAAAAAAAAAAAAAAAAAGCCTGACGCTGTTATAACTGATGAAAATCAAAGCTACATTTCAAGAGCCTAACAAGACAAACAGAAGTGGGATGGAAGATTGTCAGGTACATTCATTTCAGCCTGCAGAAATGGGATCCTTGCCCTGTAAAGCAAGTTATGAGTATGCATGAGAGGTTTTATTACAAATTGCTCTTTTTCTAGGGGTGTAAAAACGCTGAAGAATGTAGCAGATTAGGTGATCCTCATTGTCATTAATTCAGTAGTAATAGGTAAAGCATTTATTGTGAAGGACATCACCAGATAGCATAAGTGCGACCTTTATCTAAATTGGATAACACCATTCTAAAAAGATAGATCGTGGACTTCCTTGAAGTTTATGAGAGTATTTTACATAGATTAGTTTTAGGAAGCTCATTAAGATCTAGGATCCTAGAAGGAAGAGTTAGAATACTGAAGTCTGTAAGCTTGCCAAATTCCTAAGTGTTTTTAGCTCTTTGGTGGCAGAGGGAAGAGAGTTTTGTTCACAAACATATGGCCAAAGTTGATAAGATCTAATTATATGTTTGCAGCTGTTTCAAATCTGTAAATATCTGAAGTTGGTCAACATTATCAACACATGACAAAGGCAGTATAAATAAAGGAAATTAGCTAAAAACTGAAACAACAACAACAATCCCTTTTGAAGGGAGGAAATTAGGAGCTGAGTTCTCTAAGTGTGACTTAAACAGGATAAAGAACAGAGCAACAATGCTGTACATACATAAAAAGTTTGCACCTCATTAACAAGCATTCTGGAACCAATTTGTGTGTATAGGAAGACCTCTGACAAAAATTCTCAACAGTTTGAGTACAGTTTTAACAAACACAGTATCAGCTGTATTAAAGGACTACTTTGATTATTTATATAATACTTACAAATACAATTAAAGGTTTGTAACAGACTCATTGAGTGGTTTAAAAAAATAACCTTAATATAAAGATTTACATCTGTCGGGTGAAAGACTATATTCAGCCCTAATAAAATCTGGCTAAATAAGCAGGAATGATGTATTATACATGGGATTATCCATTTTCCAAAACAAAATAACAACAAAAAATCATATTAAGAATACAAAAAGTTACAAATAAGGGGCAACTTGTGTGTTTAAGTGCAAGACTATGAATGGGAAAAGTGGAGGGAATAATGGATATTATGATTCAAATATTAAAATAAATTTTAAACAGGTAAATTAAACAGTTTTATTTTTAATTATGAGAAAAAATAGAGAAGCATACATTTTTACATTTTTTCTCTTCCCTTAAAGTCTCCTACTGAAATCTGTTATGTCTGAAACAAAATATACAATACATTTACCAAATAAAGGTAATCATTCTGTCATACGAAAATAATTACTGTTGTAAGTTGAATGCCTGTTATTCATTTATGTATGTATATATGCATATGTGTGTGTACATGTACACACACCCCCATACACATCTTTTCCTTTTAGGAGGCCACAAGATGCAACAATTTGTTATGTACAAAAGGGAGAGAAGTAATGTTCTGGATTGATTCAGACAACTGGACTGATAAATCAGTTCTCTGAGTATTTGTGGGTTTACCATCCATCAAATGGAACATGTGTTTTACCAAGGCCACTTACCACTTCATGCTAATTAGATTTAATTGGTGTGTCATTGTCAATACAATTGGCTAGTGCGATGTTCTACAAAATGTCAAGATGGTGAAGGTCATTGAGGATGGTATCACAGAGAATGGAATCACCATGGGAATTGAGAAAAACATATTTACCAAATTGGAAGCTGGATACCAAGTGTTTATTGTGCTAAAAGAAAAACTGTTGATAAATTAAATGTAACAGAGTTTAACTGAGCAAAATACAGCTCACCATCAGAATAGGTACAGAGAGACTCTGGGGCTGCCACATGGTCCGGTAACGCTTGTGGACAGAAAAAGGAGGTGAGACACAGAAACAGCTGGATTGGTTACAGATCAGAGTCTGCCTTATTTGAAAATGGTTTGAACAGTCAGCCACCTGTGATTGGCTGAAACTCAGCTTCTGTGACTGACTGGAACTTGGCTACTGGTTATAAGAATGGGATACAGTATATTTCCACCTCCCATTAGGTTACAGTTCACTGTGTATGGAGAAACCTTTAGGCCAAATGTAAAATATATAAGGAGACAGCATTAGGCTAAACTTTACAATTCTCCCATTTGGTCAACTTCCCAAAATTTTGGTCAAAATTGAGAAATTGACCAAAACTTCAGGCATTGATGTCAATCTGTCACCATTATAAATTGACTTATTTGCTTTCAAATCTCACTGGAAAATAGCAGAGCAGTGGATTTTGTGAGGTGGGAACAAGGAAATGAAACAACTAAAAAAACTCGATTGGTTAACATCAGATTACTTCAGGTTACTTTTCTGGTAAGGGTTATAGCAGACAGGACTTCCTTATTATGCTGGAATTTCCTGATTTTAGGAGAAAAAAGAATGGTTTGTTATGGGATCTATCTTCTTTCTTAAAGTTTCCATTTGATGATGTCACATTTAGCATGAATGACTCCATTTTGATTTGGTCTGTTCTGTTGGGGCCTAGTGCATGAGCTCAGTCCAAAGCAATGGCCTCCCGTCATTTTATTTAACAATTTCCCCCTTTTGGTCACGTTCTTACATAGATGAGAGTGTGACCAAAGTTTGGGGCTTTAGTGCTATTCTCAGTTACCATCATTTTAAGTTTTCAGTCTCAACACACTATTCAAAGCTTATGGTATCTTCATGATCATGCATGCATTTTTAGTGACAATAACCCGTCTATTTCACTTGATTAAATTAGTGTTAGCCCATTTTACTCCTACATAAGCCATTTGGTTTCTGCAAGGGTTATACTGCTGAATTGAATTGGAATATAATGGGACCACCAACTCTGTCTCATTAAGTCCTCGAGGGTAGTGCTAATACTGCTTCCAATTTACTATCTCAGCTGAGGAGAAAAAGCAGTTTCAGGGACATCCAATTGATATTTCCTACTATAATGACTCTTACTTTATGAGTTAAGGATTCTACCAGCACCTGAATATATCCATCCTAAATATACATCTGAGGACAGAGGAAACAACTACTGGATGAGTCTGCTGAGCCATGTGATCCACTGATCCACTGATGGACCGAAGACCAAATTTATTCTGGCCTCCATAAGCTTTCACTCTAACAAGGACTGTGCTGGGTGTTTATTTCATTTCATTTCATTTCATTTCATTTCATACAGGGTCTCACTCTGTCTCCAAGGCTGGAATGCAGTGGCATGATCACAGTTCACTGCAGCCTCAACCTCCTAGGCTCAAGAAATCCTCCCACCTCAGCTTCCCAACTAGCTGGGACTACAGGTGCATGCCACCATGCCCAGGTACTTTTTTTTTCTTAATAGAGACGAGGTCTCACTACGTTGCCCAGGCTGGTCTTAAACTCCTGAGCTCAAGCAATCTCCCAGCTTGACCTCCCAAAGTTCTGTAATTACAGGCATCAGCCACCATGCCTGGCCTTGTGATGGAGTTTTGACTCTTCCATTACTAAGGTTAGTTCAAGCCTGGCAACCAACATCCTTCACAAAATCTAAAATTTTTCTTCATTAAGGGGACCAATCAATGGGTGCAATGTTTGTGAATTCATTTGATATGGAAACATTATAGTGACCTTCCATTTATTAGTTTCTGATTTTTTTTCTGGTGATATAATTTATCATCAGCTGCCCACCTATCTCATCCTGGAACACTGACCTATTAGTCATTACCATAGATACCTTTGGCTCAGGGTAATGTGATTGCCACTTTGTCCTCATTATCATTGTACTGATCACATCCACCTGGCCTCTATTAGCAGTGCAGCCCCAAAGAGGTCAGATTTCTAGCATTCCCTCCTTCCAGTTCTGGAAAGAAGCCATCCATCCCAGCAATCACCTTAAAGATACCAGGGATCCCTTTTTCGTGCATTCTCTAATGACTCAGTAAAGAGAATGTCCTTTGGGCTCCCCCTGGGGACATAGTCACGTGGTGAACACTCTCCTCTCACCTAATAAATATATTTTAACATACCCGTACTCTAAGGAGCTTTTTGACCCCTTCTTCTGCCAAAGTCACAGTGGCATATCCATCTCATTTACCTTTGATCTTTCCAATGTCCAAGCTTCAAGGAGACATTCTGGCAGCCAGAATATACTCCTCTGGCTTTATATATATATGTATATATATGTGTGTGTGTATATATATATGTATATATGTGTGTGTGTATATACATGTATATATATGTGTGTATAAATATATATGTATATATGTATATGTATATATTTATATATGTATATGTGTGTATATGTATATACGTATATGTGTGTATACGTATATACGCGTATACGTGTATATACGTATATACGCGTATATGTGTATATACGTATATATGCGTATATATATATGTTTGGAGACGGAGTTTTGCTCTTGTTGCCCAGGCTGGAGTGCAATGGCGCAATCTCGGCTCACTGCAATCTCTGCCTCCAGGGTTCAAGCAATTCTCCTGCCTCAGCCTCCCAAGTAGGTGGGATTACAGTCACGTGCCACCATGCTCGGCTAATTTTGTATTTTTAGTAGAGATGGGCTTCCTCCATGTTGGTCAGGCTGGTCTCAAACTCCTGACCTCAGGTGATCCACCCACCTTGGCCTCCGAAAGCGCTGGGATTATAGGCGTGAGCCACCGCACCTGGCTCCTCTGGCTATTTTTGCCAGGATTTTAAACTAAAAGTGTCAGGAGAATGCTTTAATAAGTTATCTCTTGTCCAGCCTTACATTCTGCCAATGTCTCAATCTAACATCCTTCCACTCCTATGTATGCTCTCCTGGACCAGGTGAGCCAGGTCCTGTCATTCTTTTGTTGTATACTGCATTTCCTTCTAGAGTAGGGATTGTATCTCCCTCCTCAGTCTATGCTAAGACCTGACTCTAATTATTGGAGGCCATGGATAAAGGTGAGAAAAGGCTTTATGACCTTACATGACCTCACTCTAGGTGTGGTCTTTGCATTGTCTCCAGGCAAGGGGAGGCTGCTGTCTTCTACAAAAGGGGAAGGAGCTGTTTTAACTGCCTGGGAGAGTTCGGGAGAATCTGGGAAATCATGATTCTCCCACTCCTAGAGCCAAGCGAGATTTCAGAGCCCCACTCTTTTCCTTACATGAACCTGACCTTATCAGAGAGGACTTGGCAAGTCTGTGTTTTCATTCTCCTTGTAGTTCTATTACCCTTTCAGTGAAGTCCTGGACTGAGTTCTTAAATTTTTAATCATAGTCAGCCCTAAAGTATAATTGTCTACGTGATGTTCAATTCCATTAGCTACTGCATAACCTAACACTTTACTCTCCAAGTGTACCTCATATTAATCTGCTTGTGGAAGGCAGGGTAACTGCTTAATCCTTACAAGTAATGACACATCATATGCTGGTTGGCCAGGTCTGGAAAAATGGTTTCCTAAGGGAACTCAGGCTGGAAGGGGTGTCATAGCCTAGTCCCACCTGATTGCATGGGCTGAGAATTACGGAATGGTGATATATCAAAAGAAGGAAGAAACCATTATTGGCAGGTAAAAGAGTATAGCTGTCTTCCACACTGAATGATTGAGATACTATTGCACACAAGAAAGGAGTCAGAGTAAAAAGAAGTTTTAAGTTTCGATGGGTCTGACCATTTAAAAATGTTGAAGTCATTGCGAAGACAGACAATGCTGAAGCTATCAAGGAAATAAAAATGAGGCCAAATAGATTTATACCTAATTAAATATGAGTTGAAATAGAAAAAAGCATAAACAAGCCTTTTACTAACTGAACCAACTTAACCACATGAGGAGAGTTCATAATAGAAGATTTAGATGAATATTTCCTGTTATAAAAGGATTTTATGTAATTATTAACTGAATTCCCATTAATAGTTACCTAAGTTTATGGGTTGAATAATGAGTTGGCTTGCATTCTCTCATTTAGCAATAAACAGTAAACAAAACAAACACACAATAAAACAAAACAACAGATGTGTTTGAACACCTGCTAAACTGTACTAGCTGCTGAGGAATCAAGCTCCCATATTCATTCTAGGAGGGGAACACAGAATATTAAGAATTTAAATAGCAGTTGAGATAAATGCTAAGGAGAAAAATGAAGCAGCATAAAGGAAATAGAGATGTCAGGGAGGCTTCTGTTTTATCAGTGAAGAATCAGGGAAGTCTTCACTGCTAAAGTTTCATTTAAGTGTTCAACAGATGAAGTACATGAAATATATAAACCCACAGATGAGACACACACATATATTTATCCATATATATACCTATCTATGAACAGGTACCTAATCTTCAGGGAAAGGAAGAATGAATCAGAATAATATATTCTAAAAAGCTCAATAACACATATATAAGCTTTTACTATGTCCACAGAATTTGATCAGTGGAACGTATTAAAGGCCTAAAAGCAGTCAATATATTAAAGCAAAATGTAACCAGCGTTCTCTGATTAAATTGTAATGCACTTAGACCTTACAAACAAACAGGTTACAACTTCTCCTCAAGTTTTTAGAAATTAGAAAACACTTGTAAATAAATCTTGGATTCCTGAGAAAATTAAATTTGCAATTACAGTATATTTAGTAATTAGCAGCAATTTGAACACTGTGGGCTACAGCCAAGGTTAGAATTTACAACGTTAAGTAATTCAACTACTCTTATTAATCACAAAATGAAAATAATTCAAGAAACATTTATCTAAAGAGGCTAGAAAGAAAACAAGAAAAATAAAAAGGTAAAAGTTATAGGAAGAATAATTCACAAATATAAAATCAGAAAATAATGGCTTAGGCAACATAGAAAGACTACTTGCTAAGGAGATCCTTTATATTTTAACTTTTTATATACCAATAATATAAAAATATAAAATTCTAGGGAAAAATGATGATAAAACTGCTAATAAAAATATATTTTTGGCCAGGTGCAGTGGCTGGTGCCTGTAATCCCAGCACTTCGGAAAGCCAAGGCAGGCGGATCACTTGAGCCCAGAAGTTTGAGACCAGCCTGGCCAATGTGGTGAAACCCCACCTTTACCAAAAAATACAAAAAATTAGCCAGGCATGGTGGCATGCACCTGTAATCTCAGCTACTCAGGAGGCTGAGGCAGGAGAATCACTTGAACCAGGGAGGCAGAGGCTGCAGTGAGCCGAGATTGCACCTCTGCACTCCAGCCTGGGTGACAGAGCGAGATTCCGTCTCAATAAATAAATAAATAAATAAAATATATTATTAATATATACTGAAGTTACCATGCATGACTCTATTTGAAAATGTGATTTGCCCAGGGGTGTTGTACAGAAAAATATAAATTACATAATTGTCTCATTTAACATATTCAATGATATTAAGCATGAACAATGAAAAGGTAACGGGAAAAATTAATAGAGGAATGAAAGGCACCTACCTTTCCTCTAAATGAATTAGCCTCATATTAATAATTTACAATGAAGTAATATGAAGACCAGGAAATATATAACGTGTACACTATTTAAAACCACCATGGTTTGAGAATCAGACAATATTCAAATCCTAATCTCTGAAAGATAGGCTTTTCACAAACATTTCGATGCGATGCATTTTAAATGTTCCCTTCAATTACTTTCATCTCTCTTCCACCAGTTTCTTTCCCTCCCCTATACCATAATCACCCATGTCCATATAAAGGATGAAAAATGACATGGAGACCCTTCATTATATGAAAGGAACTGACTCAGGAAAGGAAGCAGCATTCACCCTTCATTATGAGGGATCTTGTCTTGTCTTTACTATTGATTCAATAACTATTTAAGTGCTTGTAAAGGACAGACTCTGTTCTCAGTGCTAGAGCACTCCCCAAAGAGAACTGGCTTGAAAAATGTTTAAGGCGCATATGCTACAAAGAGACATTCTATTCTCTTGTTCTTAAATTATCTGTAGAACATGTAAGACCTGTGACTTGGACAATGAATCACAGCTTAAAAACTAAAAGATAACGGTCAAGGTCACACCTATGTTACTAGAAAGTATATTAATCAGAGTGCTGGTGGGAGAGAGTTAATACATGCAAATTGGGTAATTAGAGGAAATTAAAAATGGGGGAGTTTAAAAATTAAAAACAGAACAATCATGTGATTCAGCGATCCCACGACTAGGTGCGTATCCAGAGGAAAAGAAATCAGTCAGTATAAGAAATATCTGCTGGGTGCGGTGGCTCACTCCTGTAATCCCAGCACTTTGGGAGGCTGAGGCGGGCGGATCATGAGGTCGGGAGATCGAGACCATCCTGGTCAACATGGTGAAACCCTGTCTTTACTAAAAATACAAAAATTAGCCAGGCGTGGTGGTGGGCACCTGTAGTCCCAGCTACTTGGGAGGCTGAGGCAGGAGAATGGAGTGAACCCGGGAGGCGGAGGTTGCAGTGAGCCGAGATCGTGCCACGGCACTCCAACCTGGACAACAGAGCGAGACTCTGTCTCAAAAAAAAAAAAAAAGAAAGGAAGAAAGAAATATCTGCATTGCACTCTCACGGTCATTGCAGCATTGTTCACAAGAGTCAAGATATGGAATCAATCTAAGTGCTCATCAACAAGCCAGATAAACAGTAGAGAGTAAATGTGGAGACACAAACAGGTTATCCCAAATAGAAAGAATTCTGGAGATTTGGTGATTTTCCTTAAGATGTGGCACCTGCTCTATGACTGGTGTATTCTGGAATGTGCTGTAAGACTTTTTCTAATTTTGCAAAAACTAAAATAGCATAAATAATATACTAATATGTTATATTAGTATAATATAAATAATAATATAACATACTCAAATGTCATAATTCTGTGGAAGAACAGGCATGCCCTCCCGTTGCTTGACCACATGATATGGTTATGAAACTGGCTTATACATTTTTAAGTACTAGTCTTTAGACATAATCTCTAGATCTTTAATATCAGGATTGTTTCTAACATTTACAGGGCCTGGAGCAAGAGCAGAAAGGAGGCCCACATACCATATGTCAAATATTTAAAAGTTACATATCAAGCTAACAAACTGTTAAATAGAATCTGTTCTATCCTCTATTCTTGACGAATATATCTTCAGAATTACAAAATTGAAAGATGCGTTCAAAGATTTAGCTTTTATATCACTGAAAGTTGGCAAAATACGAAAGATGAGTCAATTTACTTATTACTGTACATGTCTGCTGTTCTATTCATAAGCTAGCAATCTTTGCGTAATGTAATAAAGATACATATAATTCAAAAATAATTATGCATTTTAATAACATTTATTTTTATTGCTTTCATTCTAGTAAAAAGTTATTATGTTTATATAATCAATACTTTCACCTAATTGATACACTATTGATAAATATGATTTAAAGTCTTATAAATTATATGTAAATGCAGTGAAAGTTTGTGTTTTATATTTTAAAATATAAAAATCTTTTGTATTTTAAAGTGTTTTTATTACTTAATAATTATTTTAATAATTAAGAACTATATTCATATTAACACAATCCAAAATATATTTTAAACAACATTGTCTTAAACGTTTTTGAAAGTTATTTTTCTTCTAAAATATTCAGAAACATATATAAAATTAAAAGGTAAAATACAAATTATAATTAGTAAATATTACAACTTAAAATCAGAATCATTTAAACAAATGAAATTTTAATTTATCTTTTGAAAATTTAAGTTTTGTTAAATTTGTTTTATAAAAGTATGAAGAATTGAGCATTCAATGTCTATTTATTTGACATGTAAAGAATTGTCATTAAGATTCATCATTGTTTTACTAGATCTAGATATTTATTAACAGAAATTCAAAGTATGATAACTTTTAGAATTACGCAGCTGTTGTGAATACCTGCAGAGTCATGATTTGGAGGATGAGAAGTGAAAAACTGGAATCTCAGCACTACTAAACAAAGGCTACTTTGTTAATCCAACAATTTATTGCTCTCCGACTATCTCAAAAGGCAGATTTGGTAAGATAATTACATAATTACTTTGTCTTCTTTTTGAAGAATTTTGCCCTTCAATCACTCTCTTCTCTGAGGAAGCCTCTGTCCCTTACATTGATTTTGGCCCAAACCCAAAGATCACTGCATTTTGACTTAGTGGACTTTAAATACAAGAACAGAGTACAGAAGATGCAGACATGTGTTTTTGTGGGGTCTGAAAGGTGTTAGTTATGGGCACAAATGTTTAGGACCAGAGAGAGTGCTGTGTCTGTTGGATCCGGCTTCTGAGTCAGGCACTCATGTGTTTGCAAATGAATTCTATGTGTGCACTTATGCCCTGAAAAACCATCTGAAGTTCAATGCTCAAGCTTGGGCCCCACTTGCTCATACCGAAGGTTGGTTCTTCTTAATCCTAAGCAGTAAAATGTATTTTTTAAAAGATGAAAAGATACGCATTCAAATATATGTGCCTATATATATCCACGTTATCTTATATTTCTACTATGCATCTAGTGGGCGTGAAGGTGTTCACACTTGTTTTATTAGCATGTAAATGTAGATTTATCTAACAAACATACTTAACTCTCTAGACATCAACCCTATCAGGTAATTCTTGCAATATTAGAAAAATGACAACTATGCAATGAGTTTCCATCTTAAGTTGAACTCTGATTCAGTTCAACTAGTAATCCTCTCAAAGAGATATATAGATGTAGTAGTGTATGTCATGTAAACTGTAACTGTCAGTGTTAATTGCCCAGAATCTGAAGTTTCTCTCCCAGTTACAAAGTTATGGGCTAGGCTATTTGAGAAGCAAAATGGATTCATTTTGCACTGTGGGAAGATTTGGCTGTGGCAAAGCTTTTTTGTTGTTGTTGTTACTAAAATTGCATTCTCCAAATTTAGTACTTACTCAAAATTCATGTGTTTAGAGTTACAACTAAAAATCTGTGTCTCACAGTGTTTGAATTAGTTAAAGCCAAATGAGTTTCTTTTTTTTTTTTTAGTTGGCATTTCTCTCAGAGAGGAAATTTATAAATTATTTAAAAATAAATAAGATCTGATATGTATGTTTTAATCTTTCAGATTATAGATTATAATTGCAAATGTTTTGGTTTAATAAAAGTCTGTAAATCTTAAAAACAAAATGTGGTAATTTCCTAAACTTGAACTAAAACTATAGTCCTTCATCTTTTCTATAGAACTACAGATGGGCTACTTTTTTTTTTTTTTTTGAGACAGAGTCTCATTCTGTCGCCCAGGCTGGAGTGCAGTGCCATGATCTTGGCTCACATCAACCTCTGCGTCCTGGGTTCAAGCGATTCTCCCGCCTCGGACTCCCAAGTAGGTGGGATTACAGGTGCATGCCATCATATGCAGCTAATTTTTGTATTTGTAGTAGAGACAGGGTTTCACCATATTGGCCAGGCTGGTCTTGAACTCCTGGTCTCAAATGATCCGCCTGCCTGGGTCGCCCAAAGTGCTGGGATTCCAGGTGTGAGCCACTGCACCTGGGCTGGGCTGACTGCTTTTAAATATAAAGAAAAAAATGACAAACTATATTGCTTAATCACGATCACATATTAATATGGTTTGGCTGTGTCCCCACCCAAATCTCAACTTGAATTGTATCTCCCAGAATTCTTACATGCTGTGGGAAGAACCCAGGCGGAGGTAATTGAATCATGGGGGCCGGTCTTTCCCATGCTATTCTCGTGATAGGGAATAAATCTCACGAGATCTGATGGGTTTATCAGGGGTTTCCGCTTTTGCTTCTTCCTCATTTTCTTTTGTCGCTGCCGCGTTAGAAGTGTCTTTTGCCCCGCCTGGCCCCTGTAATCCCAGCACTTTGGGAGGCCGTGGCGAGCGACGCCGGCGGATCACCTGAGGTCAGGAGTTGACGACCAGCCTGGCCAGTATGGTGAAACCCCGTCTCTACTAAAAAAAAAAAAATTAGCGGGGCATGGTGGCTCTCGCCTGCAGTCCCAGCTACTCAGGCGGCTGAGGCAGGAGAATCACTTAAACCTGGGAGGCGCAGGTTGCAGTGAGCTGAGATGGCGCCACTGCACTCCAGCCTGGGCAACAAGAGCCAGACTGCGTCTCAAACAACAACAACAAAAAAGTGCCTTTCACCTCCACCCATGATTCTGAGGCCTCTCCAGCCGTGTGGAACTGTAAGTCCAACTAAACCTCTTTTTCTTCCCAGTCTTGGGTATGTCTTTATCAGCAGCGTGAAAACGAACTTATATATATATATATGCATATTAGCTATGGTAAGGAATTTACTTAATCTGGAATCTCACACATGAGTAGTTTAAATATATACTTTTGGTTTAGAAGTTCATTTTAGGAATTTGGGGTTGACCCAAATTTTCTGTTAAAACTCTACTTTTTCTTTGGCTTTACTCCTTGTTATGAGAAAAAATTAAACTAAAGGAAAATAAAACCGATATGATGTAAATTGCAATCTATAAATCTCTAAACCTTACTGGTGACGGTGACACACACATAAATTACACTCATGAATGAAGACAGTTGGGACAAAAGTTCAGAGTTGTTTTATTACACAGAGTTCATGACCAGTAGCTAAGTTCCTCTTCCTTTATGTAATGGAGGTGGGGGTAGAGGGAAAAAAAGGAGAGAAAAAGAACTCTTTAGTGAGGGTTTCCTTAACAACAAATCAGCTTCTTAGACTCCTGGGCATTTGCGATAAGTGTAGTGCATTACTGCGAATATCACACACTGTGGCATGTCTGAAACAGATTCACAGTATTTCAAAATGTTCCTGCCGATGCTATACAAGTAAAGGCTCTCTATCAACAACTGAGCATATTTATGATTTCAAAAAGACTCTAGCATTTAGAATAACTCAAGTTGAAATTTAAGAGCTATTACTCTATTAATTATGGTGAACTTTTATGGGGCTTGTATGGTTTCATCATCTATTTTTATTCTTTAGTAGTGGTATTTACTGAAGGTTTTGAAAACTGGTAGTGATCTAGTCAAATTTGTCTAGCATTCCTATTTTGTTTGGCTCACCCAGCTTTTAAAAAAATAATGAATTTATTAATGAATAATCCTTTTAGACAGTGCTATAGTCCTTACAATGGCCTATTTTGTAATATCAGTTTCATTAGAAATTGTTAACAAATATCTTTGAGTTTTGCTTCTCCCATCATTTCTATTTTCTCTTCATGAAATCTTATTGTCTGAGTATTATGCATGTATACATGTATAAATTTATCTATTGGCTTCAATTCTCTCTTTTGTGTCTTTAATAATTTTTTTAAAGCATTCTTTATAACTGTCCTGAATTTTGGGTGAATTTATCCACACTATTCTTCAGTTCTCTGATTTTCTCTTTGAAAATGTCTTTTCGAGAGTGTGCCATCTATGGAGTCTTTTATTTCAATGACTGCAATTTTTATTTCTAGATTTCAAATTGTTTATATTTTATAAATACCTTTGTTTCATTTATGCCAGTTTTGTCCAAAAAATGTTTGTGGTTATTATTTTACCTTATCTCTGCAAGAATTTTAAAATTGTTGGGATGCTGTCATCCAGAGCCTGGACTTATAGTGATACTTGGGTTGCTCTGCTACAGTGGGAGTGGACATGTTGCAGGTTGTGTGGATAAGCCAGTAGAGAATTAGGTAGGCCTAGAGTACTGACTTTGAGGCAGACTCAGTTTTCCTTCTCACATATTGCTCTGTATATGCTAAACCCTGCATGGAACACTTTAGGCCCCACTTGTAATACAGAAATCAAAATTCCCATATGCCTTTGCCTCAATGCCTACCTCACTCTTGTATGAGTTTTTTAGTCCACATTTAGAAATAAACTCTATAATCACATTTTATTCTTCTTGATCTTACCATAGATTCCATCCACAGTGATGAAATTAGAAGGATTTTTCAGAATGTGAATATATACAAACATTTATTTCTAAAAAAAAATTTTTTTTTTTTAATTGAGACGAAGTCTCACTCTTGTCCCCCAGGCTGGAGTGCAATGGCACAATCTCGGCTCACTGCAACCTCTGCCTCCCCGGTTCAAGCGATTCTCCTGCCTCAGCCTCCCAAGTAGCTGGGATTACAGGCCCCTGCCACCACACCCAGCTAATTTTTGTATTTTTAGTAGAGACAGGGTTTCACCATGTTGGCCAGGCTGGTCTCGAACTCCTGACCTCAGTTGATCCGCCCGCCTCGGCCTCCCAAAGTGCTGGGATTACAGGCGTGAGCCACTGCGCTTGGCAAAAAATTCTTATTTAATGGTCAATCATAGAGTTTGATATTACAGTCTGTATTCCTTTGCAAACACTACCATGACAAAATACTGTAAACTGGGTGATTTCACCGGCAGAAATTTACTGTCTCACAGTTCTGGAGGCTAGAGTCCGAAAGCAAGATGTTGGCAGGATTGGTTCCTTCTCTCCTTGGCTGGTTGGCCATCTTCTATGTCTCTTCTCATTGTTTTCCCTCTATGCTCCAATTTTCTCTTTTTACAAAGACACCAGACATATCCAGTTCGTGCCCACCCTAATGACTACATTTTAACTTGATTATCTTTGTAAAGACCCTAGCTCCAAATAAAGCCCATTCTTAGGTACTGTGTTTTAGGACTTCAGCCTGTGAATTTGGTTGGGCACACACTTCAACTCATAACCGTTCATCCAGGTCATCATTCTGTAGGTGCCAGATTAACTCAGAATTTATGTTTGCAGATAGATTTAATATATTCTAACTCTGCACTTCTGATTTGAATTATTTGAAATACATTTTTCCATAAGCTTATGGTTAAAATTATGTTCTCCATTCTTCTAGGTCTGCTAAAGTGCCAGTGGATGTTTTTAAACATAATTCATAAATTAACAGAGCATCATAGTTGAATAGCCATTGGAGACCATTTATTCATTCTACCCATTTTAACAGTGTATGCTTAATACAATAATGGTAAACAAAACAAATATGCTATCCCTGCAGTAGGGCTTATGGCTCTAAGGAGAATCAGCCCCTTGATCTCTTTGAGGACTTTTGATGGGTATATGGTCCCTTGGTCATTTAACCAGGAATAATTAGGCAAACAGGATCTCTAGTCCTTGCTACAAATAGTTCACCTTCCAAAAGGCAGGATTCTTTCACCAATCCCATAGATGTGATGACAACCTCCCTTCATCATTTCCTTGAAGGTCTTCAAGGAAAGGAAACATGATTGGAAAATATTTCTTGAAAATATCTTATTTACATCAAATATCCCTATAAATCTAACCCATGGCCATGAATTTTGTTGTCCTCAGAGCCATGTACCCTAGCAATAAAAGTAAGTCTAATCTACTTTGCATATATTAACCTATCAAATATTTGAAGATGGCTTTATGTCTCTTCTGCTTTACCTTTTCTTTAAGCCATGGCTAGTTTTTAGTTCTGTTTTTTTTCTCCCCCACCATTCGCCATATGGTAGTTTCTGTTCCAACCAGTCTCTTTTAGAACTATTTTAGTGGGTTTATATAGTGTGGGTTCCAGAAATGCGAAACATTAATCCAGAAAAGCATTTCTTTGGAAAATAAATGGAATTCTTACAAATACTAAATTTGTTAAATGTGATAAAGCATACAGTGTATTGATAAATAAATATTCCAGATTTAATTTATAAAAAATGTTGAGTGTTCCTTAGAAGGAAAGGCAGGAAGGAAGCCTTCCAGCAGGCTAAACTTAGTCCATATGACCTCTAAGGCCTCACAATATGTGAGTAGAGCTGATGCTATCTGCTGATTGGCAGTGTCAGCACCTCCAGTACTTCATATTACGGATGGATAAACCTGATGCCTAAACAATTTAACCAGTGACAAAGCTACAATCAAAACTCAAGGCTGCTGAATTGGAATCATTGTTTAATCCACAAAGAGATGAATTACGTTTAAATGCTGTATATTTTAACAAATCTACTTTGCCTTTATTTCAAAGGGCATGATGACAAAACATGACATTTGATATTTGGACTTTTGAAACTTCATACCTTTTTCATAAGCCCACGAATTACCATTTTAATTTTCTTTTTGTCAGTAAATGATGCTTGAAACCAGTACCTTCATTGCATCTTGGTATTCACCCTGAGGTCATTCTTAAATATCAGAAATGAAAAATAAAGTAGGGCCTGGAGATGATTTGAGAGTTGAATTGTAAATATCTATTGGTGTTTACGTACATACATATATAAATGCATGAAAAGCTAAATAGTAAAGGTTTTGGGGGGATGTCAATGACTTCAATATAAAAATTATCACATATATGCAATAACAGTGACTTTTTATAAAATATGTAAAAATAATGTAGTAATTAAACTTTTGATAATTCACCAATTTTTAAAAAAATAATAAAACTTAATAGCGAGGGGAATACAAATTACAATCACCATGCAATTCTACTATACACACTCTAAAATGGTGAAAATAAAACCAAAAGAACAAACTATTGAATTTTAGAATAAAATTATCTTGGGGAAGTGAAACAAAAATATGAATATAAGCAGCAAAAAGTTATATCATATTTCAAGATATAGAAAGGCTACTTCATGTACTGCTTAAAGATGCTTATCAAATCACTTTGGAATTTATATTCCATACATTAAATTAAAAGAGTGGGGATAGACTGTTAATTAAAATACCAATATTTACAAAAAATATATTCTATACTACTACTCAAACTTAAGATGACAAGTTGAACATGTGAACATGTCCACTTAAAATGTGAGAAAGGATTCGGTCTTGTAGAATTACTTTAAATGATACCCAAGCAAATAATTTTAGTTGAGGCTAGAGTCCAGTTAAAAGCTGTAGCTAGGCAAAGTTTGTGAAACCTTTGTCCACTTTGAAATGTTGGCATCCTTCTTTATCTTGCCCTCAATAGCAACTGTAACCCATCAGCTGCCTGTTTAAACCATGTGGGCAGATGCCCATGAATGCCGGAAGGGGCCTTCTTGGTATTTTATTGGCAATAACTCAAAGCTTATTAAAATCCAGATGGAAGGACCTGCAGCATATTTAAGTCCATATGCCCAAATGAGTACTGCAGTATTTAATTGCTTGCATTTCAGTCATAATTCCTTTCCCTTGTCTTACTTTTTCTCCAAAGTGCTTATATAGTCTTTCAGTTGATGTCCCCCTGAATTATCTTTAAAACCTGTTCTAATGCTCATTTGTAAAGCACTTAGGTTAAATTCTATGTATAATGTTTTACTATTTTTTTATTGGTGTTAAATGAACATTGAGCCATGAAGAGGCAATTGGGTGAGTCATTTGTGACTCTTTCTATTGTAGCTCTATTAAATTAAAAATGTCTGGTTTTTAATCCAATAATATTTTCCTGAACACATTAAGGCTATTACGTACACATGGCATGCCATCTCTGCAGTTTGGAGAATTAGTAAGAGAGTCCTACTCTTGCAAATATTGTGTCCATTAACTGACACCTAGAACATACCTCATGTTACTCAAGTCAATAATGCTATTTATGGTTTTAATAGCATGAAATCAAAATAATGATAAATGAAAACAAATCAGCTGTCCCAATGGCCAGGAACTGGAACCTCATAATTCTATACATAGCCATTGGCCTTATTGTCCTCATCTGTTGCCCACATACTCAATCACAAGTCTAAGTCTTACTTCCTCTCCTAAATCTTTATAAGAGACCAGGGGCTCCCTTCTATGAATTCTGATTACATTCAAAAAGTCTTAGCACTCGCTTTACACTTATCTTGTACTGTTCTGAAATGTTAATTGCTGCTTCCTGACTTTCTTTTATCTCCCAAATGTATAAGTTTCTGGAGACCAAGGACTGTGTCCTATTTTTCTGCAGCCATACAGCGCCTCTGTGTTGTATGCCTTACAGACATTCCACAAAGGTGCTATCTTGGGTGTGTTTCCAGGGTTTGTTTCCATGAGTTCAGAATATGTGGCAACATAATTGTCCACTTACCACTCTGCAACCCTCATCTGATGCCATGTTTTTAGAGAGCAGAGTCTGTATATGTGCATGTGTGTGTTTGCAAGTTTGCTTTTCATAATTATATTGCTAGTACTTAGTCCCAGAGTTATAAATGTGGACCGTACTTGTCTTTCAGATATTTACTGAGTGAAAGAACAAAGGCAGCCATAGGACTTTTGTAGATTTCCTGTTTCACCCTTGACAAATTACCGAACCTCCTTGAATACAGCTCCTTGGCTAACTCTCTTCACTATGACCGTTTGGGGAGTTTAGTTAGTAGGTAGAATATTTCTCAAAACAATAGAGAATCAAAACAATCTCTTCTGAGTTCAATTTTAAAACTGTGATTCCATTCATTGTCAATTCTGACATGGCATTAATTAAAGATATGTCTTAAGGAAACTTCAAAGTGTTAAGTGACTCACAAGAATGTGGTAGTAAGAATATTCTCATTTAAAATATAGTTAAAAAGATAAAATGACCTAAATGTCACGTTTACAAAACTGCTGGCAAACAGAAATATAATTTGTCTAGAATAGACATTTAGAATAGACAGAGAGTTAAAAAGTCCTTTCACTAAAGTCTTACATTTTTAAACCCACGGAAAATTAAAGTAAGCAGTTAAGAAAAACAAAAAAACGGGAGAAGAGAATTCTAGACACACATCTACTGCCCGCAGTTGGAAATTATAATTAACTGCAATTGAGCTTGTAGACAGGCAAGTTATACTCTACGTGTGATAGAATTTGAGAGGCATATCAGTTCTGTCTATATGGTCCTTGCCTGTGGGATCATTAGAGATTGATTAGAGTACGTGTCATTGATGTACCTGGGAAATGGGATTGCATAATAGTTTAGTTTGTGTTCCTCAATTTCATCTGAATTATAACCAGGTTACTATGGAGGCAACCTATGTGTTGTCTGTATTCCTAGATAACTGGATCCTCCCTCTTGTGTCCTGAACAGCATGCTTTATAGAACCTATAACATGATGTTACTCTCAGTGATTACATTTTCACATTCCCTTTGAGGAAAAGGATCTTGAAAAATTTATCTCTGCATCCCCAGAGACTAGCACAGTGACAGATTTTTAACAGTGTTTTTACTATGTAACATAACACTGACACAGAAAAACACACAAAACAACTGTTTAGCCTAGGGAATTGGTAAGACGAACTTTATCTTTCTTTTTTACTTAAATTTTAGTTGCTGAAGAAACCAGATCTCTGATCTGTACAGTTCTCCATAGCCCTGATTTGGATGATGGTATTTCCATGGTGAAATTTAATATGTCCCTTTTTATTTCCTAAATATTGGTGGTTGGGTTGGGTGCATAGACTTGATAAGATTCTGGTTTGATGATTTTGGCAAGACTACTTTATTGATGATGTGATTATACAAGACAGGAAACTCATTTCTTGTTCTCTCTTTATAAGACTTTGTAGAGAGATAAAGTGAAGTCTCTGAGGGTTTTAAAGTTGAAAGCATTTTGTTTGATACTTTGAAGATTCAGCCTTGGTCAAGGCTAAAAAAATAACTGTTGTGTTTTTTCTAGTGTGGGGCTATTAGAAATAGTAATGCTACGAATATCCTTGTAGACATCTTTCAGTGAACATATGCTTGATTTGTGTTGTTGTATACCTAGGGATGAAATTACCAGGTCCGATAGGGTCCTTATGTTTAGTTTTAATAGGTACTGCCATGAAGTTTTTCAATGGGGTTGTACCAACTTACTTGCCCAAAAGTAGGGTATGTACTTCTACCAGTTGTTCTACATGCCAGTCAATATTTGGTATTGAGAATAAGTTTTAAAGTTTAGACATACTGGTGGGTACATAATGGTATCTCAATTACGAATTTGACTTACATATCCCTCATGACTAATAAAGTTAAACTCATCTTCCTATGTGTATTCATCATTTAATATCTTCTTTAGTGAAGTACCTTTTCCCTTGGGTTTTTTGTCTTTTCTTTATTAATTTCTAAGACTATTTTTAAAATAAATGCAAATCATTTCATCCTTTGTTTCCCAACCTAAGTTTTTCCAGGTATATTGTCTGAAGCTCAAGGGAGATTATGAAATAAAGTTTGATGGCAGAATAGAGATGTACAATATAATGCATCCGCATAAAGGCTTCCAAAATTTCAGTATAAACTCTCGTTCATTTTAAAGTGCATCAGGATATATAAAAGCCCAAATATGAGATAAAGTTCATAACTCATAGGTCAATATCCTACTAAATGAAGTTACACTAAAAATTATCTTATTGTGCCCAGCCGCGGCCAGAAGGTTTTACTTCAATGGGAATATAACTTATTTTGATAGGGAATTTTATTTCTCTGTTGCCGCATAGCATCTCCTCCCAAGGAATGGGTACAGATCTTTCAGTGTTTCAGACACTGACTCAACGCTGTCTGAGTTAATAGGAAATAAGTTACACAGACTTGACTGCAACCTTATGTAATCTAGAAAACAAGCTAATCTCTAAGCCCTAGAGCAGAAAGTGCAATGATATTACAAAGTGTTAGTATTTCACCTACACTCCTATAGTCAAATGCCATAACGGAGACCAGTATGAGTTACACGGAAAAATATATTCATTTCAGTTTCTTTGGGATGTACCAAGTTACTGTCGGACTATGTCAATTGTCTCATTTTCATGAGTTGGAATTAAACCTCCTGGAAGAAATCTCTTATGCTTCTGTTAATTATGACACTACATACAGTTTGTGTGTGGGAAAGGGTTGATAAAATTACTCTATGCATATTGTTTCCTTGATTAAAGGAGCAATTATATAAAATAATATAGCTAGAATTTGATAGTTTAATAGGTGGCAGACACTAAGGTGCCTTGTATGTGTTTAATAAGGAAGGCAGTGTCACTAAGGTGCCTTGTATGACCTTATAAGGAAGGCAGTGTCATTATCAACCCCATTTATTAATATGAAAATGATAGACTGGTTAAGATAACAAATTTACAAAGATGATTGGCAATTTTGGCTGCTGCAGGCAACAGGTTTTAACTGAATGTATTACTCCATTTTCACGCTGCTGATAAAGACATACCTGAGACTGGGCAGTTTACAAAAGAAAGACATTTAATGGACTTACAGTTCCACGTGGCTGGGGAGGCCTCACAATCATGGCAGAAGGTGTAAGCCACGTCTCACTTGGTGGCAGACAACAGAAGAGTGAGAGCCAAGTGAAAGGGGTTTCCCCTGATAAAACCATCAGATCTCATGAGACTTATTCATTACCACAAGAACAGTATGGGGGAAACGGCCCCCATGATTTAATCATCTCCCACTGAGTCCCTCCCACAGAATGAGGGAATTATGGGAGCAACAATTCAAGATGAGTCTTGGGTGGGGACACAGACAAACCTTATCACAGAGGTTCCCTTTTTTGTGAAACTAAGCCATCTTTCTGGTACCTTGGTGCAGCACTTTTCCCCTATGAGGAGGCTGTTTTATACCTGTGCCACAAGATCTGATGTTCCATGTTTTTCTATGTATACTAGAACTAAAAAATCATACCTAAAAGCAAAGGTTTTCTTTCATCTCCACAGTCAGCTTGGCTAGAGAAAATAACTCCCATGAATTCCCAAAGGCAGGCAGCTGGGGCTGTATCTGCAGCTTTCATGCCTAGAGTCTGTTGAAGACCAATATTTCTGGCATGTGCATTATAAAACATTCACTGTCTTCACTTTTTGAATATTCAAAGCTGTAAAAGCATTTCTTCCTGCTATGTCTTTTGTTTGTGGCGGTGGTTTATATTCTTCTCTATTTGGTGCTGATATGGTTTGGCTATGTCCCCACCCAAATATAATCTTAAATTGTAGTTCCTTTAATCCCCATGTGTCATGGGAGGGACCTGGTGGGAGGCAATTGAATCATAGGGTGGTTTCTTGCATGCTACTCTCATGATAGTGAGACATGGAGTCAAAGGAGATCATTTTGAAGCTTTGACTGGACTAGGAACTTGCATGGCACCTGTAGCCCCGTCATTTTAGCCAATTTCTCCCATTTGGAATAGGTTTATTGATCAAATGCCTGTACCTCCATTGTATCTAGGAAATAACTAACTTGCTTTTCATTTTACAGGCTTATAGGCAGGGGCACTTGCCTCGTCTCAGATGAGACTTTGGACTTGGACTTTTGAGTTAATGCTGGAATGAATTGAGACTTTGGGGGACTGTTGGGAAGACATGATTGTGTTTTGAAATGTGAGAACGAGATTTTAGAGGAACCAGGGGCACAATAACATGGTTTGGCTGTGTCCCCACCCAAATCTCATCTTGAATTGTAGTTCCCATAATTTCCAACTTTCATGGGAGGGAGGTAATTGAATCATGGGGGTGGTTTCTTCCATGCTATTCTCATGATAGTAAGTTCTTGTAAGATCTGATGGTTTTATAAGGGGTTTCCCCCTTTGCTTGGTTCTCATTTTTCTCTCTTCTGCCACCATGTGAAGAAGGGCATGTTGCTTCCATTTCCGCCATGATTGTAAGTTTCCTGCGGCCCAGGAATGTGGAACTGTGAGTCAATTAAACCTCTTTCTTTTATAAATTACCCAGTCTTGGGTATTTCCTTATAGTGACATGAGAACAGACTAATACAGGTGCTGAACTTAGCCTGCTGGATTCCTTCTCCTAAATTCATCCTTTCTCCCTTGAGGAGCTCTTAGTAAGAAGTAAAGAGTGGTCATGTGGAGTCTAGCATGTTAGGTTCTTCTCCTAAACTCATTCTTTCTCCCTTGAGGAGCTCTTAGTTAAGAAGTAAAGAATGGTCAAGAGATTTAAGACACAAATATTTCTTGTAATATATATTAATATATCACATACACACACACACACACACACACACACACACACACACACACACAGACACACAGAGAGATGGGTTAAGGTGCCCAATCCCAAATGCCAAAAAGAAACGAGGTGGGTAGTGGAAGGGTGATGTTTACTTGAAGTTTTGTTTGTTGTTTAATAGAAAATGATAATGCATAAAAGTAGGTGGGAATGAGTCAGTTGGCACAGAGGTATTGGTCATACATCTGAGAAAAGGGAAACCTAGTAAGGTAAGGTTGCTAGAAAGGTGAGGAGTGAACAGGTTACCAGGTGTATGTGAAGCCAGCCCTTCCATTTGTCAGAAGAGAAGGGGCTGGGGATGGCATAAGACAGTTATGCATGTATGTGAATTCATATGGTGGATGGAGGGGTGATGAGAGGTTTTCCGTGTTACGGGTTCTGCTTTGTCCATGAGGTAGGAGATAAGATCATCCAGCCAAGGTTGAGGAATTGGGAGGCAGTGATGACAAATTTGAGAGGCATTAAAAAGTTTTAGAAATACTATTTCAATTCAAAAGAGAGTGAGTTAACCAGAGAAATCTAAGTGGGACTTATCATGAAAATCATTATAGAATTGTAGGCTCTATTAACAGCATGTGAAATGTTACATAGCTTGCACCCAGTATTTGTTTGAGTTTTAATTAACTTTATTATATTGCTAGTTTTTAGTGTGTTATCTATCAGTTCTCTGTATTTCAATGCTCTCTCATTTTTCTCTGATAGCAGATGCTTGAAGATCTATTAGGAGATCATTTCTGAATATCAAATTCTGTGTCAATAGAACTAATCATCTTTAAAAAAAGCAACCATACTCAGTGATATAAACCAGTGTGGCTGTAGTCATCTGTCTAAACCAGGAGAAATAATTCTTTTTTTCTTGCTTAGAATCTTTTTTGTTCTTCTTTCTCCCTTAAAGTCAATTGCAGTTGAAAAAAACCCTGCCCTTTACAGCTGGGATCTGATTCATAACCCCAGGTTTTCCCATTTTGTTCTAACTGGAGGGTCCATATCTGTTTCTGTTATACCTAAATGGTGGTTATTACTCAGCTCCTGGGAGAAAGCCTCAGCTAAGTTATGAAAAATAATTTTTGAAGAGTGACACAGAGAAACAGCCAGGAGGAAAAGGGAGTCTACTTTTCTGCTGCTTGCCTTAGGCCCCTGAGCGGTGGGCCCAATGTACCAAGAGTTAGAAGTACCCACAATCTTCCAGCCCCGAAGGAAATGTCCCCATTTACATCTGCAAAAGATATAACAAGGGTGTGTTCAAAGCTGTCACTCTGAGCTGTGCTTCCTAGGAGTTCAGGCTGCTCCCCTTTCCAGGGGAAGTTGAGGAGAGGACGGGGATGAAGTGGGGGAGGGAAGCAAAATTCTGTCATGTCCGTCAACAGGTGAAGCCTAAAAATTTCACTGGAAAAAGTTGTGGAAGAATTAACAGCTGCAGGCCTGTTTGGAGAAAGTCAGCAGAGTAGTTTCCATCTGGCATTTGTTTCATCTGCAGAAGAATTTTTTTTTCCTTTTTAAATAGGGCTTGAGCTGAAAGCCCACTTCATTTAGATGTTAAGTCCTAGGATACCAAGGACTTTGCAAACTGCCAGGATACCCTTCTCATTCCCTTCCTTGTACACCTCCCACCAGCCGGTCATCCTGGAGCTCAGTGGAAAAAAATAAGATCCAGGGATTAAAATAATTCTACTGCAAGGTGAGAACCTTCAGGCCACCTGCGCCCTCTTAGTCTCGAGCAGCATCAGCCACAGATGAATGGGCTGGATGAAAGAGGCACAGAGGTTTGCTTTCGTAGTCAACATATAATGCTGTGTACACAGATATTCAACAAGCTTCTGTGTATCTGGAATAAATAAATTTTAAAAAGAAACAACTAACAGCTTATTCAAGCATGCAGCTGAATACTGCATGGCCTCTTTAAGAAAGGGTGTTGTATAAAAGTAACCTGGTTTCAAGCTCCAATACATAAAACAAAATTGAAATGATGCAGTGAAGGTAATGATCATACAGTAAAATAGCCATCAGAAGAGCGAGAATGTAGGTTAAAGAATTTCAGAATACCTAAAAACCCTACTCCATAATTTTCAGAATCAATGGAAAACCAAAGAAAAAAAAAAAAAAATCAAAGCAAAACAAAACACCTCATTTGCTTAGATAAAATAGAATGTACATATCTGATATTTCCAGAAGCAAACTATTCTTACGGTTATCTTCCAGCGACTTAATTTTCCTTTTTTCATTTAGTATATAAGATTAGCTCAATGATAAACTCTTTGTTGGATTATTGGTGAGCCGCAGATTATCTTATTATTGATAAAAATATAGGGCAAGAAGGTGAAATAGGCAGATGACAGACAACCAAAGGGTAAGTTTACTCAAAAGTAAAACTCCATACAGGTACCAGATGGTGATATATATTGACTTATTTAGAAAGAATCTTCTAAGTCAATATTTCTTCTTCAGAAAGAAAGGTTGATTACAATCGCTCTAAACAGGATTATCTACCCTAGGGAGATTAGAAATGAACTTTCTGCTTTCATTCTCTGCCAGTAATATATTTATACCTTAAACAGGTCAAACTTCAAGTCATCTCAATTAGGATCAGCAAGTAAAGCTGCCACATAGCTTTAATCAGTGGGAACAAAATAAACTTACAGGCTGCTTCTTCTTCGAAGGTTTGTCTTTCTTGTTTGGCTAGGATGATGACACTGGGTCAGTGAAAGAAGGAGCCAGAGAGAGGAAGAAAAATGAATGGCTCGTAATTCTTTTATTCAGTCCTTAAGGATCTACAGTGGGTTTATCAAATAATGATAAATATCAGATAGAAATTTATTTTTTAGAATTCTCATTTATCGAATAATGGTGAATATCAGATAGAATTTTATTTTTCAGAATTCCTCTTGTGAAGAATATTATTGTTATATTTTTATAGAAAAAGTGTTTTGATAAGTTATCTAGAGTTGTGACTAAGACTGCAATTGTACGTTAAAGTAAAAAAAAAAAAAAAAAAAAGTAGCTGAGAAATCTTCAAAGGAGAGTAATGGTGCTTCCTTTTCCTGTGTGGCCATCCTATTTTATGGTGAAGACAAACGTTGCAGTATATGGAAAACACTTGGGGATTTCTTAAAATGCACATTCTGATTGAGTATAGCTGTAGTAGGCCTGAGTCTACATTTCAAAAAAGCTCCTAGGTGATGCTGATGCTGCTAGTCCAAGGACCACACTGATTGTCTACTTTATAGAATGCATTGATTCCATTTTCTTTGCATGTTTTGGGTGTAGGCATTGTAAGGGAACAAGTTACGTGTAATAAAGGACCTATCTAGAAAAGACAGGTGTCAAAGAATCTGGGTAATGCCTACCATAGTAGAATTATTAAGGAAGCTCAATGGGCAATATAGCTAAGAATGTTTAAGTTGGTGCTTTGGGGTATACAATGGCAAACCCTTCTCTATGCTCATACAATATATTCAATGAAGAGTTCTCGGCAAAACCAATAGGTTCTCAGTTTTCCATCCAGGTAGGCCTAGGAGAAACCGAAGATACAAGAGTAAGAAGATATGGAGCCAAATGGCATCTGAATGGCAAAAACAAAATAATAGCCAACATTTATTGGACATCTATCTGTGTTAGTCCAAGTGCTTTGCATTTTTGACTATTATTATTGCCATTTAACATGCAAGAAAACCTAGGACGTGGAGAGGTTAAATCTGCACCCAGGCTCTCTAACGCTTAACTACAAAGTCCAAAGACTACTATATTCAGTCACTCAAGAGTTGAAATGTATTTTCAGCTTGAAAATGATTTTCCCTCATTTTCAGCTTAAATGAGGCAAACTCAATCTTCTTCTCCCCTTGCTCTCTCCTTTTCTCTGTCCCTTCTCCTTGCTCTTTGTCTCTCTGTACCCTCTGCCCCAATAATTTCAGAGACAAGTACTCCTGAAGAATTCCTGAGAGCTACATTTTAGTTCATATTCTCTCACCTTATATAACATTTTGATTTTCTTTCCCTGTTTACAGTCACACCTTCAAACTGTACTAACACATCTTCATTCTGTTAGGTTAACTCGTGCTTTTGTGAGTCACAGGCTCTTAAGGTGAAATAAATGAAAGAAATCACAAAGGAATTATTACAAGTTTTATAGATACATTTTCCCTTTAAAAATTATATTTACTACCCGACTTAAAACATAGAATATTACCAAGCGTGTTGAAGCCCCCAAGTATTCTTCTCCAAAAGGTAACTACTACCCTAAATTTTGTATTCATGAGCCCCTCACTTTCCTTAATACCTTGAAAATAAATGAATGTGTTCCTAAAACAGATATTTTGCACATTTTGAACACTGCATAAATGACAACATTTAAAATGTTTTCTCCTGAAGTGTTTTTTCCCCCCAATCAACCTTATGTTTGTAAGATGCATTGATGTAGGTTTATATAGGTGGAGACCATTCGTTTTTTCACCACTGAACTACAAGGCATGGTTATGAATTATGAATATAACACAGTTGATTAGTCCCGTTGTTCACATGACATGTGGCTTAGTTCCAGGTTGTTTTGCTTTTGTTATTACAAATGTTTTTCTTAAATCCGTGAGTTCCACAATCTATTTTCTCTCTGCCTGCTGTTTTATATTCTCTTCCCTTCACTATTTCAGTAGCTCTCTTCCTTGGCTGCCTGTTGGAATACCTGGGGAAATTTTAGAACCCCTGATGCCCGTATTGCATGCTAGACCAAATATATAAGACTCTCTGAAGCTGGGACTCAGGTATTAATATTATATAAGGTTCTGTAGGTGCTGCCAAAATGCAGATAAGGTTTCATAACATTGCTTGAATTCCACCTTATTTGAAAGAAAAATTGCTTCCCTGGTTCCAGTTGCATTTAATATATTTTTCTAGAAAACTAACCTGAGAAATAAGAAGCTAAAATGCCCCTTCACACACTCAGGAATTTATTTTCATTAGTTGGTTTTATTTTGAGCTCGCTGGTTTGCATGTCCATCTGTCTGCTTATGTCACATGTGCCCAGTGGTTACATTATTGCCTAATAGACCTCTAAGCTGTGGCTTCTTCAGGAAGCATTATTTATTTATTCATTGAACTTTTTGGGTAACTTTGTAAAACAGAGTTCTGTTTACCCAGGGCCCAGAGGTAAAGACACAAAAGTAGACCCAGTCCTTTAAAAAGTTGAATCAGAGGGAAAGAATCACAGAATTTTACTCTAAAGTAAATATTAAACCTAGAATCATATGATCTGCCCTAGGAATTTGCAAACCACAGATACACCATCCCTTTTGCAGAAATATGTTCTTTTGGCCACTAGCCATTTCTTAAAGCTGAACCCTTGGTAAAGGATGAGTCAACAGGGTGCATCATGACTCAGGCTCCAAGTGAAACAGAGAATGAGTTGGTTTAATGGCTTTTAAAGTGGCTTTCTACCCTGTTATGCAAAGTGTAGCCCCAATATCCAAGAAAACAATAATTTAACATGATCCATTGGTTGGAACTGAACTCTTCATTACCCCAGTAGGACAGCATTAGATAAGGAGCTATTATGAGTCATTCCTTGTAGAGCTTAATAACAGCAACACAGAGGCAATTTGGATCAGTAAGCAACCAATACTCTCAAAGAACAGTGCACAGCAAAATAAAGCTGCTAGTGACATTCTCTGTCCTTTGAAGTGGGGGTGTCGTTAATGTTATTCGTCAACTATGTCAAGTATTTTCCCCAAAGGGTGTCCAGGAATCATTGGTATTAAGAATTACTCTCATCGCTTTTATCTATCCCAAACTCTTTTTTCTTGACCATCAAGATAATTTTTTAAAAATCAAGTTTTGTACCTTAATTTCCAAAAAATAAAAATTTGGAGGAAATGAACTTGCTGACAAATATAATCAAGGCCTATGTGACATCTACACAGCTCTCTTGCGATTATGTAAACTTTACAGAATTTTTTGTACATAACAGTCTAATACCTAACTGAGGAGTTTATTCAGGCAACAGATTTTATGCAGTTACATTATATAAGTGTTTGAATAAAACAGTAATCTGACTTCTCTTCTTGGACAAGTGACAATATTTTTGTCCTTCAAATTCTCTCAGATATGGAGGTTTGCTGACACTAGATAAAGAATCCTTATTAAAGTTTTCTAATTTCTGCAACCAGAATGACATGTTGCATTTGCCCATTTTTCTCTGAAGTGCTATTTGCATCACCAGAAACTTAAATAAGCCTAGATTAAAGGCATACTTTATGGGCATACATAAGCCTTTTCTTGAATGCATAAATTTTGGACCATTTCTTAACCTATATTTGGGTAGATGAATTTTGAACCATTTCCAAAATATTAAGTCCTTGATTGTATACTGGCAGAGAAGCAGAAAAATAAAAACAAATTAAATAGGAAAGGACGAGAGAGATTTTCACTTGCTTGTTTGTTTTCTCAAGATAAAAATGAAATGGCAGGCTGATTATGAGCATTTACCAATTATATTGCCAGGTACCCCAGTTTTTTTTTCTTACTCACACACTTGAATGCCACAGAATGTTTGGGAAAGGTTCAGCAGCAAATCTAATGCTCTCCCACTGGGGTAGTGAACCTATGTGTTCCCTGTACTTGGGTGAAGGATAATAATAATAAAAACATATATTTGGTGAAAATATTTATATACTTTAGTTACCCAGTAGTTATCATCTATAAAATATGTTGAATTTCATTTATCCATATGGGAGGTAGAGAATTAAATATATATTCAAAAAATGATAGAAGGAAGAGAAAAATGTTAAAGAAGTCAGAGAAAGAGGGGCAATCCCCATTTGTTATTCAGTTTTTCTTTATTGGCTCTTATAAGTAGTTTCTCATTGAAATTGTTGCTAAAGAAGCCTAAAGAAGATTTGACTCTCTTGGACATCTGTTTATTTATAAAACTAAGACTATAGGAAACCCTACACAAATTTTTGTGTGGAGGCTTTATAATTTACATTTCTGCCACTGGACAGGAAAATGTGTCTGCAAAATGAAAGCAGAACAAGTAAATTATGCTTGTGTTCAGGGCTTTTCTATTCAATCTGTCTGGATATCTGCTTCTTTATTTCTATTTATTAAGAGCTGTATTAACACAAAGTACCCCACATTAAGCAATAGCTTATGTCATTGTAATAACATTTGAGTTACCACATACATGTCGTGTGATCTAAATTCTGGTGAAAGGATGATTAATAAGTCAAATGTATATGAAGAACATGCTTCATATTTTGAGATGAGCTACTATGAAATTGTTTCTACTGATGTAGTTTAATGGAAGAAAATGAAAGTAATTGCGGTTTTTGCAATACTTTTAATTGCAAAAAACGCAATTACTTTTGAACCAACCTAAATACAAAATAAGTTAAAGCAACTCAGATTAGGATTTTATTGCCTCGTGGCTGTCTAGCTCCATTGGATGGAAGAACATGTCAATGACTGTAAGGCAGCAAGTTCAATCCATGTGCGTACCAATACGTTTTGTTCTATCTTTGGCCAGAGCCCTATCCCTTAGCCCTGCCGCATGTCCCTCTGATGTAGCCTTTATTTCCTGAGAGAGGATCCAAGAAGGAGAACATAGATGCAACACACACACACACACACACACACACACACACACACACACACACACATACACACATACACACTGTTTTAGATATATCTTCTGGTGGTTGATCAAAGCCATAATCTCTTTATATCTGACAGCCCTATTAGTATGTTTCATGCACTGTTGCTCTGATTTAATAAACACATTACATTCAAAAGCAGAATCCAGCAGACCCTTTTAATTTGCTCTCCTCAGAAGTTCAACACACCTTATGGAAACTTGGACTTATTTTGCAAGAGCAAAATAAAATGGAAAATTGAGACTGATTCCAACAAAATATATTGATCCTGGCACCAGTACGTGTAGATCTTCCTCTAGGCCTTTCTTAATGTCATGACTCAAAGGAAGGCTGTTTTCTTTTTCCTTCTCTCCCTCCTTTCCATCTTCTCTGCCTTCCTTCTCACTTTGTTTTCTTTTTTTTCCTTAATGCTTACTACCAGTAGTTAATAACAGTAGCAAATACACATCTTATTATGCTTCAGCCCCTGTTCTAAGGCTGTCCCTATATTCATGTAATCCTCATAGGAACACTATGAAGTAGGTATTATTATTATCTTTATTTTATGAACTAGAAAGGTGAGTTCCAGAGAGACTAAGTAACATGCTTAATGTGAAATTGCTAGCTAGTGTCAGAGTCAGGATTCAAACTCAGGCAATCTGATTTTTGTCTGGAGATCATTCTCCTAATCTTTTTTCATTCTCCTGGATATAGATAAATTAGACTGAGCCACAAAATAAAAATATACTTCTAATTAAACATAAGATTTGAAATAAAAATCGTGCTTGAAAGTGCTGACTTGTATGTTTTAAACTCTGTGTGTATTTGTATATTTCTGTCATTTTCAAAAATATGAAGTAATTTCTAACTATATATTATTAAACATATACAGTTATTGCTTATAGTGTTATATGCCAAAACTGCTTTTAGGTGAGAATGATTTTAACACTGCATTTGCTGTTGGCATGGATAGGAAAAAAATGTTATTAACACAAACTTTAAAAATTAAGAAGTCTTTGTTAAAGAGGTTAAACATTTCCCTGCCATCTTTATCCTAACTTCCATTGAAAAGTTTCCCCTCCATATATAGCACAAATGTAAATTTTAGCTTATCTTTTCTAAATTTTTATAATTTCATAATTAGGAAGATCCAACTAGATGGGATTTAACTGTAATTTTTCTATTAAGGCTTCGAAAACCTCAGAATATATCAGACGAATTAGTTATAAAATTTAATACTCTATATATAGTCTCTGGAGACGCAAACAAATATTGAGCTTTAAATGATGTGTTCTAAGTAGATTTTTTATATGTGAGTGTTTTACTGTGCTGCTATATAATATCATTTGTCATATATGAAATAAACAGTATTCTATATATGTGGTTAGCAGACAAGAGTTTCAGATCTCATCTGTACAATGGAATTATGATGACCTTTTGAAATAACATTCCACTCTTTAATCTTAAAATTAATAATGTCATACGGATTAAAACATTATTCATTTCTTTTCTTTACCATGGCTCATGTATCTTGGAGTCACAAAACCACTTATTACCAGGGATGTATTGGTCTTTGAAGTTCATATAATTACAGGAGAAATTTAACTCACTCACCTTTAGTGGGTTTTATATATTATAGCAGAAGATTATTATAATTCTATTTAATTAGCAGAATGAAAAGGTAGCTTGAAAAATATTTTCCAATTCTTGTTTGGATGACTCAGGGGCCATTGTCAATCTTCCACCATGGTAATTTAATGTCCCCTGAAATGTTGTATGCCAAAATGATTAAGTATCATTACAAGGAGAAATTTTTATACAAAGGCAAATACCACAGCAGATCATGTTCACTCAATCACAATTAAAATGAACGCACTTTAATAGCACTCTAGTTTTGTTTATTAAGCACAATGAAGCAGGTGCTTTACGCTAGAAAAATTCATCTTGTTTATACCTGAGACATGTAACTGAAATCATCCTGCTGTCCATATTCTTTGTGGGAGCTTCATTTATTTGGTAAGCTTTAGAGAGAAATAAAAATAAGCATATCACATAACATGACAATGCCAACCTCTTTCAGCACAGCCTTGAATTGTCTAAGCACCTTCATGTATTACAAATAAATTCCCTGGGCAACATTTCCTCTGGAGTCTAATTAGATTCCACTCCATGTATTTACAAACAGGAAGCAACAAGGCTGTGACTTCATATTTCCACTCAAAGGCCTCCTCAATTAACATATGACATTGGTGTTATTTGGGAATGAACACTGAGTTCGTTGTAAGTTCCCCGTATAACAAAGAAAAATGGCCTATTTTTTGTTATCTCAAAGATGACAATCATTATATTATTTCCATATTATTACTTGACAAATAGAGACAGTTTAATACTAAAATGTTTCTGGTGCCTTTGAAAAATGGGCAGGTAATAGGTGGGAATCATAATTTAGGGATTAAATATCTGGAGTACACTTGGAGAATGAACTCTTTGATAAATAATGGCATAGAAAAGATCCCATTACACCAGAAGATGTGGACAGAGGTAAAGTGTCATAAAAGCATGCACCTTCGTAAAGTATTGAGAAAGCAGTGCCCACCTGATACCATCAGTGCTCAAACTGCTACCATCTTTATAGTTTTAAAAAAATACTTATGCATGTAAATATCTCTATATGAAACAGATTCCAAGATGATTCAAGAGAACCAAAAATATTTTTCTGTTGTTTAGGTATTTGGTATTATTTTAATAGAGCCAATTTCAATTCTCCACAACCAAAAATATTCTTAGTACAAAAAATCTAATTTAATTGAAAGCCATTTTAGTTCAATTTCCCGTTAAATGTTCTTTTAGGCCATAGTATATCTATATATTGTTAGGGATAATTTTTTTTCTTTTGGCATTAACAAGAATATATGTATGCAAGCATTGGAAAGCATGAATAGCACTCTTAGTGATTACATGACTATAAATTAAAATAACCATACAGCTGTTGGTAATATTTATCATTCTATATTCATAATTGTGTCCCTAATAAAGCACTGCAGGCCTCAGAACAGGGTATTCTCCTTTCTGTTCCACTCCAAGTGGAACAAATAGTGACATGCCGTTTCCGACCCTTGAGTATTAACCCGGCAGTGATTATTTTGCCTGTCGTTAAAATAACAAGAATGCCGATCTCTATTGGATTCGGTTACTGTATGGACTGCTGGAGATTCAATGTGGTTCAACAATATCACTGAAAATTAGCAAACATAACACATTCTAAATGTCCACTTGTTCTTTATCCAGTTACAATTATTGAAATTCCAGGATTTTTGAAAAGGTAAGGTCATGAATTTCTTGTTAGTGAATCAAGTTAATATTCAGATACATTCTATGTGTTCCCTGCTCTGACTTTTAGTGGCTTAAAGTGCATGTGATACACACAAAACAAAGTAGTCTTGAATTAGGTATTAATTTGTCTTTTCGGTTGCAAATAGACTTCTATTACGGCAAATACAGGGGCCAAGTCTATATATTTTCTTTATACTTTACAAGTAATTGATACATAGAAATACTTAACAGATTCCAAGTGGATGATGCGGGTAAAGAGAAACTTACCATTTCCTAATATTTTCATTAATTTCTTTTTTTTTAAAATTTTACTTTAAGTTCTGGGATACATGTGCAGAACGTGCAGGTTTGTTACATAGGTATACATGTGCCATGGTGGTTTGCTGCACCTATCAACCCACCATCTAGGTTTTAAGCCCCACATGCGTTAGATATTTGTCCTAATGCTCTCTCTCCCATTGCCCCCCACCCCCTGACAGGACCCTGTGTGTGATGCTTCCCTCCCTGTGTCCATGTGTTCTCATTGTTCAGCTCCCACGTATGAGTGAGAACATGTGATGTTTGGTTTTCTGTTCCTGTGTTAGTTTGCTGAGGATGATGGTTTCCAGGTTCATCCATTGAGTCTTGGCAGAGCACTTTAATTTTATGGGGATAAACATTATTCATGGTGGCAATGGTAATAGTGGCTGTGAGAATTGTGAGGTGTGTGGCAAAGGTAGCAGCACCAGGGATTTAGATGTGGTGTGCTTGAACATTTAATGGCGGCAGTACCAGAAGTGTGGTATCATCAAAAGTCACCTAACGAGAATGTTCTCGGGGTGACTGTGCCCATGCTTCTTCCACCTTGGGCAATGCAATACTCATATTTCTTGCCTACGTTGATTATTAGTCATTTTTGGCACCTGGTTCTCTAAGCTGTGAACTACCCGTATCCCTGTAGTCCATTTCTTTTCTTCTTAAATTGACCATAATCAGGTTCTGTGGATTGTAACCAAGAATCTTTACTCATTGGTATTCTTTTGAGTAAGATCCTTCAGGAAAATTTTATTTTCAATAGTTTGCTCTCTGTAAGAACGCCTGATTTATAAATTAGGAAGCTTGGAACAAAGGATAAGTTGTCATAATGGCACAGCTTCATTGGTCAAGTAGGAGCTAAGACAGCTGATAATCTGGTAGGAATGCCCTTTATGCAGATGACAGGGGAATCAATGTAGAAGCCTTAGAACAATGGTAGAACTAGGCTTTGGTTGGGCCAAATTTGATAACCGAGAAGGTAAATTTAGGATGTGAAATACGACAGCAAAAACCTAGGAGAGAAATATTTTTAAAAATTTTTTATTATACTTTAAGTTCTGGGATACATGTGCAGAACATGCAGGTTTGTTACATAGGTATACATGTGCCATGGTGGTTTGCTGCACCCATCTACCCATCATCTTCATTAGGTATTTGTCCTAATGCTCTCCCTCCCCTTGCCCCCAACCCCCCAACAAGCCCCCGTGTGTGATGTTCCCCTCCTTGTGCCCATGTATCCTCATTGTTCAACTCCCACTTATGAGTGAGAACATGTGGTGTTTGGTTTTCTGTTCCCAGGTTAGTTTGCTGGGAATGGTGGTTTCCAGCTTCATACAGGTCCCTGCAAAGGACATGAACTCATTCTTTTTTATGGCTGCATAGTATTCCACAGTGTATATGTGCCACACTTTCTTTATCCAGTCTATCATTGATGGGCATTTGGGTTGGTTCAAAGTCTTTGCTATTGTAAACAGTGCTGCAGTAAACATACATGTGCATGTGTCTTTATAGTAGAATGATTTACAATCCTTTGGGTATATACCCAGTAATGGGATTGCTGGGTCAAATGGAATTTCTGGTTCTATATTGCCATTATTAATAAAAACGATAAAGGTGTGTTATGTGCCAGAAAATTTGCTGGGTTATTGACGTGGATTTTCTTTGTCTCACCATTAATCTGTAAGATAGTTACTATAATTATCTTTGTTTTAGGTATGAGGAAACTAAAGTCTAGAGAAAATAATGTGCTCGAGATCACATAGCCTGGAAGTAGCAAAGCCACACCTGAACCCACACAGTGTGAATGCCAATGTCATTTTCTCTCCTTTTTTTTTTTGAGACAGAGTCTCACTTTGTTGCCCAGGCTTAAGTGCAGTGGCACGATCTCAGCTTACTGCAACCTCTGCCTCCCAGGTTCAAGCGATTCTCCTGGCTCAGCCTCCTGAGTAGGTGGGATTACAGGCACCTGCCACCACGCCCAGCTAATTTTTGTATTTTTATTAGAGACGGGTTCTCACCATGTTGGCCAAGCTGGTCTCCAACTCCTGACCTCAGATGATCTGCCTGCCTCGGCCTCCCAAAGTGCTGGTATTACAGGTGTGAGCCACTGCGCCTGGCTGCCAATGTCATTTTCTTAATCACTATGTTGTACTGCCTGCTATTTTAGTTAATTTTTCTCAAATTCAATTGCTTCTTTGTGCTCTTGTCTATTGCTTAACATGCAAGGAGGTTTAAAGAATTATCTTTCAAAAGACCTACAATGCAGGCAATACGAAACCAGAGAAGGGAGAAATTGAGTTCCAATTGTAGATTGGCTTTTAAGAGGATTCAGGGGCATTTGATGTTGAACTGAAGAAGTCAGTATAGAGAACTGCAAATCAAAGAAAGAAAAGTAGTTACTTTAGAAGTTCAGCAGTGCTTAGGATAATTAGATATTCATATATAGAGGAGCCAAATACTTAACACTTTGAAAGATCCAAAAGAAATTAAATAGAAGCCAGTGGTTGTGAAGCATCCACAGGAATTTGGAAGGGTTAAGGATAATGAGGTGTTTTTCTCTGGAGTTACAAGCAAAGGGAGGAAACCAAAAGCAACACAATTATTATTAAATTCGTAGAAATGGTCTTTCCTCAGTATTTTTCTAAGTCAGAGAAGACAGGCAAACAGATGCTTATCATCTAATCTACTTATCACCAGAACCGTCTCTCACAGTTCTCAGTAGAATTGAGCCAAACTGGATATAAAGGTTATAAGATGATTATTTGAGCTTTACTTCTATAATCATCACAGTTTGGACTCTGTCCATTTCGGGGAATTCATTTAAACTCCTGGATGGCTGCATTTTTTGAATTTAAAGTCTAAAAACAAATGTGCTTGCTGGAAACACTCTTCATCCTGTGGTGGGTAGGTTAAAGCATAAATTAGACCAAATGACATGTCTGGATCCAGAGAACTGATTCAGGGAAAATTACTTATTGATAATATTTTGTTTATTTTGAATTATGTTTTAGAATTCGGAACACATTGTGCTGTATTAAAACTAAAGCAATTCCACTAACAGGGCTGGAGGAATTATCATCTAATTTTGTTTTAGATGATTTTGCTGGTCTGCTTATGGGATTTACTATGCAAAGCTTCTTTATCCACTCACCTGGAAAGCCTATGTTGTGAAGTATATAATTACATAATCTTTTGAGTGGAACATTTAGCTATTTTCTGATAGTTTTAAAAGTGACTTTAATGAGCTATTTTCAGATAGTTTTAAAAGTGACTTTAATGAGCAATGAGGTGGTAGAATAAAGAAGGGGTAGTTTAGAGGATACTGTTCTTTCTTTGTGGCCCTAAGGGATTGACAGTGTCAATATATGGGAAGGCAAAGAGTAAGACTCTCTTTTCCTTGCATCATGTACTTTTAGACCTCCCCTAGAGATGAAGATTTTTAAACACTAAATATTAAATAGCCTAAGTGAGATTTGCAAACTTCTAGATCATCATATTAACACTTTCTTTTAAGTGAATATCCAAATAAGACTTTTAAAAGTGATATGATCAAGAAAACTCTAGAGGGTTTTCTTTTTCCACCTGGTTTTGCATGGGAGCCTGAGGTAGTAAAAGAAGCTACCATTGAGAAATGATGGTAAGATTTAAAGGTAAAGGGTTCTTACAGGTGCCATGAGGGAGAAAAGATGACAAAGAAATAAACTTGTCAAAATCATAAATGCTGGAAAACCGTACACATGGAATTTTTTTGGTATGGAAAAAATCAAAGTAATGGAGTTAAGTTATTGGCAATGTTTTAAAGAGGAAACAGGAAAAAAATGAAAGAGTAAAGGAAATATGGCAGCAGGATTGTGAAAGGATTTATGAATGTTTGATAGTGTGATAATGTTTGATTTTATTTATGCTTTTTGTGTTTGGAAACCCAAGCCATTCTGGCTCCTGTGGCCTTCCCCCTGGTTAGGAAAAATATCATTTCAAAATACTCTGTCTTAACCCCTAGGGTTAACACTATGATTAATAGGAATTAAAAAAAAATATTTTCCCAGGCTTACTTAGAATGAATTGAAGCAGTCAGTGAAAGAGAAACCAAAAAATAGGAGAAAGCCATATGTATGATCGATTGAATATTTACATTTGAAAATTCCCTTATGTTGTTGAATGTCACATGTACATAATTTTCCATAAGGAATGCTTCATAGAATAAACTGAGTCCCCTTTACCATTCTTTCTCTGAGAATAATGGGCTAAGTAAAATATTCTTACCCTTTTTGCTAGTCTATTATTAGTTCCTAATTGAGGATAGCCTTGTGGTTTGAAGTGAAAGGGAATTTTTGGAAGTGGCTCTAAGAACCTGATTCTGAATCCTAATGAAAACATCTAGAAAAGAGATATCTGCAGATAAATTATAATGATTAGTCAGTGAGTGGGCTAAATTGCAGCTGAAGAACCCAGACTGGAGTTTGAGTTGTATCTTCAGTTTACTAGCTGTGTGTCCTTTTAAGCAACTTAACTTCTCTAGGCCACAGACATCTGCACTGTATTCTAGTGCTGTGATATTTTTGGCCAGTCAGGTAACCTTTCAGTTTCCTCATCTGTAGAATGTAGATAATAATAGTACCTATCCCACAGAGTTGCTAAGTGGATTAAATGAAATGGTAACAGGAAAAACATATAGCTCTCAACAATGTGAGCCTATCATTATTAAAGGTAATATGATGTGGTGATTAAATCTTATTAAAATACTTATCAATCATAAAAAATGCTCGAGAAAAATAAACATGAGCATATAATTTTTTAAAATGAAAAGGAAAACGACACTATGACACCAAGGAGGCTGCTTTTTAGATAAAGACTCAGAGAAGGCATCTCTGAGGAGCTGATACTTAAGCTGAGACCTAAACAAGAACCTAATGAAAAGATAGTCACCCTTGGTGGTGACTAAATAAAAGCAAGTTAAACCAACTAAGATGATTAATTAGTCTATTAGATTGACACAATAAAAAGGTAAATAATAAAAGTGTTGGTAGGAGAATGGAGATACAGTCTCTTCCAGGAGAAATTTCTTGAGACAAGTTAGCAGCACATTTCCCAATTGCAAAAATATGGAACCAGCCAAATGTGATATATATAGTCCATGGAATATTACTCAGCGAAAAGGGCCGGGCGCGGTGGCTCACGCCTGTAATCCTAGCACTTTGGGAGGCCAAGGCGGGTGGATCATGAGGTCAGGGGTTTGAGACCAGCTTGACCAACATGGTGAAACCCCGTCTCTACTAAAAATACAAAAATTAGCTGGGCGTGGTGGCGGGTGCCTGTAATCCCAGCTACTTAGAAGGCTGAGGCAGGAGAATTGCTTGAACCCGGGAGGCAGAGGTTGCAGTGAGTCGAGATCGTGCCACTGCACTCCAGCCTGGGTGACAGAGCGAGACTCCGTCTCAAAAAAAAAAAAAAAAAAAAAAAAGAGAGAATGAAATAATGGCTTTGAAGCAATTTGGATGGATTTGGAGGCTATTATTCAGAGTGAAGTAATTCAGGAATGGAAAACCAAATATCCTATGTTCTTACTTATAAATGGGAGCTAAGCTATGAAGTTGCAAACGCACAAGAAAGAACTTTGGGGACTCACGGGGAAGGGGTGGGAGGGTGTGAGGGATAAAAGACTACAATTGGTACAGTGTATACCACTCGGGTAATGGGTGCACCAGTATTTCAGGAATCGCCACTAAAGAACTTATCCATGTAACCAAAACCCACCTGTTCCCCCAAAACTATCAAAATTAAAATAAAAATAACAAAAATGCAAACTGAATATTCCTCAACTCACATTCATATCTCTAGACTATTGCCTAAAGACATAATAGAACCAATGCTCAAATATATGCATGCAATTATTTATGATGGTCATTCTTCAGTATTAATATTTTTGTTTTTACTGTTAATTTTTAAAAGCTATTTATGTATTAAGGATGTTTACATTTAAAAAATTAAGAGTAACCTAAGTGTTTATTGATATAGAGGATTTGATTAAATGAATTATGGTACGTATCTGCAATGCAACTGTTGAAGATGTCGTTACTCAATATTCTTTTAGGTAGAGAAGGTTGTATAATGATCAACCTTTTTGAGACCCATGACATAAAGTCATTAACTCATGATTGCTTTTCTCCTGTTAGCCATTTTGATTTATTATTAGAGAGAGGGTAGAAATTTGTCAGTTTGACTTGTCTGTATGTATTACCTTAATATTTGCTATCATAGAATCAAGTTATTATCACAGAAGTTGTTTTTGGCCATCATTATGTTCCAAGTTATTGTCTGAAAAATGTATTTGATGTACTCCTTTTGGAGTCAGTGGAACAGTAGTCAGGACACCTGGTTTTTCCCTTTCTACAAATAAGCCATGAGAGATCATGGAGAAAGTCATTTGCCAAAGAATTCTTATATCATAGCATGAGAGCTGTGCTTTGACAGTTTCCCATGAGGTTTATATTACACTGTCTGCACCTGGGTCTAAGCCCATGACCTTCTGTGAAGCTTGATCTGATGATATTCTGTTCGATTTAACAAACATTTATGAGCACCCATCATGGGCCAGACAGTGCTTAGGACAGAGGACATTATAAAGATGCATGAAATAATGATCCTTTTCGTTAAAGTATTTCCACTTAAACGAGCTATTTGAGTTAGCTATCGGGATGTAAAGGCACTTTTTCAGAGTTTCAGATTAGACTAAAGCCCCAATATTTTATCAAGCAAGTAAACTTGATTTTCTGATACCTACAACTGAGTTGGAGCAATGAGGTCTAGAATATGAATTTTCTGGCTCTGAATACAATGCTTTGTCCATTGAACTTGACTTAGTAAAGAGTTTCCTAAGAGGGATCAACAATTATTACATGGTCAATATATTATTTCTTTTATTTCTTATGAACAATACACATCTATGAATTAATTGACCTGAGCAACAACTCTATGAAGTGGTAGATACTCTTGCTATCACCATAGTATAAATGAGGCAGCTGAGTCCCAGAGAGTTTAAGTAACTTGCCTATGATCACCAGTGTAGCCCAGCTTCAGAATGCATATCCTAATAGACAGAACAAGGGTTATGAGAAACATTGACATTAACAAGTAATTATTTTAAAATGTGATAAAAGCAGGAGTACAGGTTGCTATAGAAGCATGCACCCAGGGACTCAACGTATTCAGTTGATGAGGCTTCCCTGAGAAAGAGGTGCTCCATGCTGGGTCACGAATAATTAATATGAAAACTGTCCACTTCAACCCCTAGATAGACTTCAAGTTATTTAAGAATGGAGTCCTTTTTGCATGTCACAAGTACCTATTATATTGCTGGGCATAGGAAGTATGAGAAGACATTTATTGAATGAATACATAAATTAAAATGTTAGATGTCTTCTATGAGCTCTCTCAGAAGCTTTTATATTATTGGTTTGTGTAACAATCCTGCAAGGCAGTTATTTTTTCTTCTCACACTACTCATTGAGAAATTGAACTTTGGTTCATTTGTGGACTTTTGTGTATTTCAAATTTCCTTGCTGTTCCATTTCAGTCTCAGGATTGACTCACATCTCTTCGAGGGATCAACAATTGTTTCTTGATCAATATATGATTTCTTAAATGATGAATTAAACCATCTTGATGTTGGTAGACTGTCAGAATTTTAATAAATTTTCCAAATGTTTTTTAACATCCCAGGGCACTTCATATAACTAACCATTAACACCTTAGGCACACACTTCCTTTAATTTCATATTTACAAATGAACCTTATCTCTAAGTATTGTAAATAGGGTATTCAAACACCTGAATAGCTAAGGTGTTATGCAGGCAAAGTCCGTTACCCGTTCTCATCACCATACTTTGAATATTGTTAAAATATAAAACTACCCACTTATGAATTCTTCATCTCCAGTATTCCAATCTATACTTTCACTTCAGTTATTCTTCCACTTTCCTTCTAGGCATCCACGTAACTCACTCTCTGACCCCATTTACCTTACCAAGATCCTTTACCTCATTAAGTTCTTTCTTTTATCAACTCTCTCCTAATTTTACTTCTTCCCCAATGTAGCCAATACTGATGATATATCATGTCAGATTAGTTCAGGCTAATAACCGGTTTTATTGACTTTCAAAATCTCATCAGTGAGTCCTTCGGACATTTGAATTTTCCGCTCTCACTCCAGACCTTGTGAGTGCGTTTCAAGGAAATTTTACTCAAGGAAGCAAATGTGTGCTGTGATGAAAGGTTATCTAATCTCAGATGGACCCAGCATCACTAAGTAACTGTGTGACTTGTTCACCTATTTCTCCCATACCCTTAAAGGCCATTCCAACCCTCACATATTTTAAAATTCTCTACTGTAACATGCTTCTCACTCCAAAATCACAGGTAAACTATAGTGTGTGTCATTGGCAGAAGATGTTACTCCTATTTGCATCCTTGGTTCCCAGATTCGTGTGTTTCAGTCTTCAGGGACACAGCCCCTTATACTGGCCATTTGTTAAAAGAGTAAACTGTTTCTTAAATGTAAAAATTGCAGCCCTGCAGAGTGTCTTCCCTGACGTGGCACCTTAGCTATACTTTTCAGAGCCATTCCAATATTCTTAACGGCAGAGTCAGCTTATCTATAAGGCACAATAAGTACAGTACCTAGGGCCTACAGTATTTAGGGCTCCATGAAATGCTTTAATTTTAATATCTTTTAAAATCAGAAGAAACAATATAATAATGAATATATAATCTTGAATCTAGTCTTGACTATATTCATATTTATACTAACAAAATAATAAAATATATACACATACATGTGTCTGTGAGTCTATATATTTTTTCTATTGGAGGTAAGTATTTTGGGTCCAAGATAGTCATAATGTGGTCCTTTCCATCTGACTGGCAACTTCTAGGCTACATGGTATGTAGTTGGCAAATGAGTGACATGATTTTATACTCACTATCACATCTCCTTTCTATAAAGTGAGACTGTGATCAGAAATGATGAAATGAAGGATATTACAACAATAAATCAGACACTCTGTGATTCCCCAGATAATGGTGCTGGCTTAGGAATTACACGCACCAAAGGCTAATCTACCCTTAGAATATGACTCAATCTTAGTGACTGTTAGGTCTTCTCAAGGGATAACAGCACATTTTAGTTGCTGACAGGTCAGATGATTTGTGTGGCTATGAAAACATCAGCCTTGATGAAAAGAAAACCATGATTTTGGGCCCATGCATTGCCTCCATCCCTATTGCTCCGCTCTTGAGTGACTAGTGCAAGTATTGGGGTAGTCAAGGTCAGAGGTTTGGTGCCCTCCCTTTATGAATCACTGTAACTCCTGGTTGCAGTGAACTCTTTGTGGCTTAATGCTCAAAGATTCACACACTCTGTCCAATCTGACAGGTCTAGCCACATGCCTTTATATAGGCATTTTTGTAGCTAATCATCCAACACTGTGCCTTCCAGGTGCCTGCTCAACCAGCTAAGCCATTCATCAGTGCCCAGAAGACCATTTATGTCCTTACCTAAGTCTGCTTCTTTCTCCATACCAAATTCATGACCAGGTGTGCATCTCAAAGATATGTTTCTTTATGGAACTTCACTTTACCACTGTCTTTCACAGATACCACAAGATGGGATATCCTCAGTGCATTTCTGGCTTTTGCCAACGTAACAGGTCAGACCTGAGTTTATGTCCTCCATCAACAAGGCCATAGAGGTTGAGGGAGAGGTACTAGTGCAAACTTTTTAGGTGACATGGAGATCTGGGAAACTGGTTGATATAATTTCTTTTGTGCATTCTGGATTAGACTAATGTCTGAACAATCTTATGACCAGTGCGTGATGGGCAGTTGTTTTTTAAGTCCTTTTATGTCATGGTTAGGTGCTCAGTTTCTAACAAGGGCCAGTTCAAGTTTTTGACTGCTTCCTAGACAGTGAGTACTTCTCTGCTGAAGATGGTGTGACCTTGCTCCTGAAATGAGCCTTGCTTTTCATGAGCCCTGCTGGCCCATGAAAGCTGAGATGTGCAACTCTTCCCAGCTTCACTTTCAGTGGCATCACATTGATAGCTTGAAGCTGGCCATGACAGGAGTATGTAAAACATGGACATTGGCAAACATTACAAATAGGATCTTTTTGTCCCCACAGAGCTAGTTTACCAGTGTGCCAATGAGTTTTCTTAGTCACTCTTATTGGAATTTGCCCTAGAAACCAAGCAGTATAGCTCTGTGCCATTCACATCTCTATGCTGTAGTGCCTGGTCCAGTTCCAGAATTTCATCTTGAAGGGCTACTTCCCAAGACCACTTCTAATGCGAGCTGCTCAGCTTGGGTTTCTCAAGAATCTAACCCTGAGGCAAAAATTATAGTGCGAGTACTTTTATTTGATAGGTATTCCCAGGAAACACTGATGAGAGAGTAGACACAGGGAAGGGAAGAAAACCAAAAGCCAGTAAATGATGTGTTATCAAGCCTGTTACCACTGTGGATGCATGCAGATCATTCCTTCTGGGGAATGCTTATAAAACATACAAGATGTACCTTAAAGTTATTCCAAGTTAGGGCAGGGAATCTGGGATAAAATAAGCCAACTCCCTGTACATTACTGGTTAAGGGCTGCTTCTGGGAACTCATTACTTTGTGTACAGGCAGACTGCTTATCCTGGCCCAGAAATAAACCCTCAGGCAACAGTTCACAGGTATTTATAGTAAACAAACTAAGGTGAATTCTGAGGGTATATGAAGGCACCAACAATATTTATGACAGGAAGTAGCATTTATTTTTCATGCATTTTCTTTTATATATGTGGCAAATCATTTTCATTCAATTTCTGCAAACTCTAAATTAAGCCCTTGGGATCTCAGCAAAAGGAAATCTTAAAACAAAAAGAACAATGTGCCAAACAATACGGGTCCTCTCAAGGAAAAACTCCATAATCATACAAAATAAAGACATCAGTGGGAAGAAAAGTAGCCTTATGCGGAATCTATACTCGAACATGAATATGTTAAAGAATAAAAATTAAGCCGTATCAAAGGAACTTTAGAAAAGGTATTAACAACTGCAACTCCCCAAGAAATGGGCCTGGATTTAGATCAGAGGACTTGCTTTTCAAACATGCAACCACACACTAACAAAAAACAAAGTCCTCATATTTATTTGGATTTTAGAGGTTTTGACAAAGAGTATCAAAAATGGAAAAAATCTGACTTTGGGTGACTTATTTTTATAGTAAATGCTGACTGATGGATTTCCTAAAAGATCTGAAATAGACTTTGAATTTTTCACTATGAATTTTCAATATTAATAAAATTAGTAGAGAAGGATAAAAAGTTATCCAGTCCAGATAGGTAAAAAGATAAAAGAAATTCCCAAGGTCTATTACTAGGATATAAATCTTTTTTTCTTAATTTGGTATATAGTCTGTATGTATGTATATGTGCGTATGTGTGTGTGTGTGTATGAGAGAGAGAGAGAGAAGGAAAGAGAGCCAGAGAAAAGCAAGATTATTTTCTCTTTCAACATAGAGAGTTCTTTGTATTACTTCAGATTTTTCAATTGAGGGAACTTTTATATCTTATATTTGATACTGCTCCAGTCTTTGCACCCTTTCGTGTAGGAAGGAGAATCTCTTGTACATGGAATCTATCTTCATTTCTCCATGTGTACCAGTCTTATCTGTCATTTTCTCTAGCTTCAAGTAGAATTCGTTGAAACTGCCCTTCTGTGGACTTATTTGCAGTTTTAGAAAGTTGATTTTGCTCTTTATTGCTTTCAATAGAATAATCTATGCTATTTCCATAATATCTTCACCCCTTTTAATTTCCGCTCACTGTCTTAGCAACTCATCTATGTTCAGGATGAACCTAGAGAAAACACAAGTGCTGTGATCACAAATGGCTTTGTGAGGGAGGGACACCTAACTAATTCCAGACATCCTGACATAAAGATAAAAGTAGGAGATAAAGACATACATATTTTCCAGCAGAAAGAATGCTTAAGCAAAAGCATAGAGATAAAAGGGTGTCTGTTTGCGAATTAGGGGAAGTTTATTTTTACCCATCATGTTTGGTGAATAAAGAGAAGTGAAAGAAATAAGACAAGAGAAATTGGGGCCAAGATTATAAAGAAACTTTAATATAAGTCATAATGGAAAATAAAACCATAGATCCAAACTTAAAGTTAGGCTCTTCTGGTTGTCTGAATTAAGGAAAAAATTAAGAGGGTCTCACTGAGCAAAAGTTGGGTGATTCTACCCCACAGTTCCCTAAAACAACAAAATGCAGCCTTCCTTATATACAGTGAGACCCATTCAGAAATTGGATTATTATACTCATATAGGGAAGTTCTTCCAGTCACAGGTTGTCAAACTTCAAAAGGTCCTTTGAAGTGGTGCTGATAACATACATTTCTAAGCAATCACACTATTTTTCAAATCTATTTTAAAAATCAGGGTCCTAGCAGTTTTCTGAGTTGCTAGCATTCTTTCTGTAATCAGTGGTTTACATTTCATATTGATCTGCTTTTATGGTACAGAATTCTTCACAAAGTCTGAGAAGTATAATTTATTTAGATTATTTTTGTAATACATAATGTACATATTTTTGAAGTCGTGATAATTTATTACATTGACATGATTTGTAAAGATAAAATCAGTGGAATTGTGATATAACCTTAAATTGGCTTTTCTTTATGCTAGAAACATTTGAAGTATTCTCTTCTAGCTATTTTGAAACATATAATCGATTACTGGAAACTATAGCTACCCTAATTATCAAGCACTAGGTCTTATTATTTGAAGCTTGATTAGAAGCCATTGTTTGTGCTTATGTAACATAAGATTTCTAAGATTTTACATGTTGTAGATGTGATACACCTTAGTTAAAACAAAAACAAAAGTGTGTAGTTTCAATATTTTTGTAGATATTATTCATTGTGAGTTTATTGTGTAGAATTCATATGAAAACACATTTTATTTTAGAGCAGTTAAACAAATTAGAAAAGCCTGATGCATTCAGAATCAAATAAGCCAAAATAAGCATAAGAAAGATAACCTTGAGCCCATACTCTTTCATGGAAACTTTCTAAGGTATAAAAATAAAACAAGCCAATGGCATTATAGAAAATGTGATATCCAAATAGAATTGTTTATAAATAGAATGTTTTACAAAGTTTCCATGAGGCATCAGCTGTTCTTTAACCCCTTGCATGTTGACATTTTCCAGCCCACTAGCTAAATTAAGGCTTAGGAAAAAATTACCTATGCATTGTATTTTTATGTGTCTGTTAATCTATTTTTATATGCTCTGGGCATACAGCATCAGTTCCAGTATAAACATATCAAAAGATACGCCCTATACACACAACACATGTATGTGGGCAAACATAAGAAAGAATATAAAATGCTTCTTTTACCTCTATGTTGCAGAAAAAAGCTGTAACAAGACAAAAGTTTAACATGAGTAGAGTGAGCCAGCCTGCTTGATTTTCTGGATTTGTTGCAGTTTAAGCTTATTGTATTAATCTAGTTAAAAATAGCACCCTCATACATGTGCTCAAAAGTGTCCCATTTTAGATGATAAATTCCATGGCAATTCCAAGTAAGAGGCAAGAACTGATCAGTTATTTGTGAGTTACTATAGCAGTCAGAGGAAGCTAGATTAAAAATGCTTGAAAATATTTGTTATCTATCAAGAGAATACCATTCAGTTATATTCAGTTAAAACCAGATTTCAGGACAATTGGTATTGAAAGATTGTTTCATCTGCCCAACCAGCAGTATCACTCTTTTAAAATTAGCTATGTATGATTATTTTTCTCTGCCCATCTATTTCTTTTTCCCTGTTACACACACACACACACACACACACACTCCAGTTACAGTTTGATACACAACAATACTTTGGTGTGTATCATTACAGTTTAGTAAATATAATCAGCCTAGAAACAAGGAAAACAGTCTTCATTTTTCATATAAAAACGCCAATCAGTTCCCATAATCCTGGAGCAAACAACTTTGTTACTTTCTCTTCACAATAGGCACAAAGAGCAAACAAAAAACGGTAGTTCTGGTGAGATTTGCTTTTCTGGCCATGAATGTTCAAGGTGGAAAATGAATACAGGTGTTTGTTTGTAAAAGCATGTTAATGTTGGTTTTTTTTTTCCTTTTCGTACACTAATTTAAAAAGATCGTATATACTTGTACTTGAGGATACACTAACATATACCCCACAATCAAAATGCACTAACATTTAATATAACTTTAATTATTGTAATTTTTCCAAGGTGTTTGATGTGTTTATATAGTATTCTCTTCCTTGGTGTTTTGTCTTGTCCTTTGTACCTGCTGTATATGCCTTAGGAGATGAAAACATGCTGATTACTTCTTTGTGATGGTTTGTTGATTACCCTTGAAGTCAGGGGAAAAAAATTAAATGGGATGTTCCCCAAAAAATCAGTTTACTCTTCAGATGTTTAGGAAAAATCGTGATTCCAAAGTCATTCTGAACAGAAATGTTCTGTATTTTTTCTTTTTAGTGGCTAGTGGTGGATTGGAGAGACCCCTTTTTGCGTGTATGAATTTAGTGTTTCGGAAACATTGTATACAAAGAGCTCACCATTGTATCAGGGAATGCTGGAAAATTCAAACTTGGTGTCAGAAATATAAACTAAAATGTCAAGAACCTAAGATGTGCAAAACCTTTGGCACTTCTGCCACTCCCAGAAAAGACTTTATTTTGAAAGTGCACCTAAAATGAGTATTTTATAAAACACATGACACATGCAGAGAGCACAGATGTTAGATTTAAGCAGTCAGAAGTTCAAATCCAACAGCTCCTGACTTACTAGCTGTGTGCCCCTGAAAATATTTTTCAGATCCTGTGTCACTTGTAAAATGGTTCAAATGAGTTATTGATGTCAAGTTCTCATTACAATGCCTGGCATATAGTAAGGATTCGATAAATGGGGAATATTCTTTGTGGAATATTTCTGAATAGAGAGACTCTCTGCCATTCATATTGCAATGCCCCCTCCCCCACCGACCTTGGTTGCTAAAGGAGCTTGTAATACAGAGAATAGCTAGAGCTTGTCACCCATTCAAGATGCTTTTTTACAAGCCAGACAAGTCAGTGATTCAATACTCATTCATCTTCAACTTCCACCTGCAGACAGTGTTAAACTGACGGGCATGTCCCTCTCTTACCCTCCTACCCTCCTATTGGACATACTGACAGGTCTCTAAAATGGTTTCTATTTTCTCAAACATCTGCTTTTCCTATAATCATTATAATTATTTTTGCTGGGCAGATTTGGATGTGACCTTGGCTTTGGGAAAGCAGATTTCAAAATGTTCATAGAGAAAAAATAGGTATGATCCCATGGCAGAGAGATTCTTAAAAAAAAAAGAGATATAATTCTGATTTTAAAAATCACAATTCCAATGAGAACGAATTAGGGACAGAAGGATTAGTCATCATAGCTACTAGATAAATTCTGAAAAACTTTTTAGAAGATAATCCAAGCACAGACTGACCTCATATTTTTAAAAAAGATAAATTTGAGAGGGTGGAGGTGAAATAGAGTCAGAGGAAAATCCAGTAAGGACCAAAAAGTTCCAAAGGAGAATAATAAGATTTTAAAAGCATTGCCTAGAAGCTGGTGTCAGCCTCATATATGACAGAGAAAAGGCAGAGCCATTAAAACTGAATTTTATTTTCAGCACTTTTAGCAAAGATTAATAAATAAATAAAATGGAAGGCACAGAGATAAATTTAAAATGCCTGAGAGGAAGATATAGTAACAGCTGATCATTAATTCAGGTAGTTTCCTAGAATGCTCATAATAATTGTAATAGTAATAGTATTAAACACATTGGGTTTGGTATCTGCCAGGTACTTTTCTAAGCGTTTTACATGTTTAATATTTATTACAACCTCATGAGATAGGTTTTTGGTATTATCACCAGTTACATGAAGAATTAAAGTACAGAGAAGTTAAAACAACCACAGTTTACTCAAAGTCATGGTGTTTGAATGTGTCACAGCTGAGATAGTATGGGGCTCTAAGTACTACAAACAGAAAATTGAATTTCCCATCTTTTGTTTATTTTGAATGGGATAAAAACTTTTCCCCAGCAGACTTTTCCCAAATCGGGTCTTCTTGGCACTTCACAAAGATGATAAGACGACCATAGATTGCCTTATATCAAACAAGGAATTCCTTAAAGCAGAAGATGAGCCTAGCACCCTCAGGAACAGGTGCCCTCTTAAAGAAGGTGAACAGGATCATGGGTAGGCAGTGAGGAAGAAGGAAGATAGTGTGTCCGGCAAAATATCCTTGCTATTTTTATCAGTGAGCATTAAATTTAGTTTTCTGGAATTTATTAGAAGGAAAGAATACAAATAAAGCTGAAGGATTTGATAATTTCACATAATGATTTTTTTAGGACAAGAGTTACTCGTTTTTCAAAATGGAATTGTTATTTCTAATAAATAGAAACAACTCTAAGAGGCTGGGCCCTTTAATTTTATATTTTCAAGTTTTGTATGTTTACATTCTCTTTTATGATAATAATTCTACCAGTTTAAAATTTTTATGTCTAAATGTAATACTCATTAACAGCTTTTTATCATTCTTTAGTTATTTATGTGAATAATCACTTAATTGGCTGGATTACATCAATATATTATCCTTGTACCTTTGTATTGAATTCTCTTATGTATTATATTTCTAATGTTTTGAAATTTTGACTGATTTCCAGACAATATATGGGTTTATCTCCTTAAATTCTTCAAATAGGGCATGGCTGTTGTTCATGAACTCATTTCTTTCCCTCCCCAATAGCCCTCAATAATCCCACTCAAATAAATATAAATAGATGACACACACTGCTTGTCATACTTCTGTCATTCTGAAACCCTCCACAATTATGCTCCAAGACTGGATGTACTGATTTCTAGATGAGTATAAAAAGTGAGCTTCTGGCAGTGTGCTGATTCCTCAAAGAGTTAAAAACAGAACTATCATTCGACCCAATAATTTCATTACTGGGTACATATCCAAAGGAATATAAATCATTCTACTATAAAACTCATGCATGTGTATCTTCATTGCAGCAGTATTCACAATACAAAGACATGGAATAATCTGTGACATGGAATAAAAGTGATGAAATAATCTGTATAATAAACCCTTATGACATGAGTTTACCTATATTACAAACCTGCACATGTACCCCAAACCTAAAATAAAAGTTTTAAAAAGTTAGCTTTTGAACATAGATGTAAAAATCTTCAATAAAATATTGGCAAATCAAATTTCACAATATATAGAAATAAGTATAAATCATGACCAAGTGGGATGTATTTCAGATATGCAAAGCTGGTTCAACAATTTAAAATCCACTAATGTACCCCATCACATCAACAGGCTCAAGAAGGAAAAAAATCACATAATCATATCAGTAGCTGCATAAAACACACTTGATGAAATCTAACACCAATTCACAATAAAAACTCTAGGTAAACTAGTAATAGAGAGGAACTTTCTCAACTCAATAAAGAATATCCACAAAAATCCTATAGCTAACATCATATACAACTCAAAACATATGCATGTTCAGGGCAACACTCAGCAACACCTAGCAGGGAGTATATTTGCTGTGTGCCAGAAAACTGGGAAGAGATTTCACGGTTGGACCATCTGGGAAGATACAGAGTTCAGCCATAGTTATAGTAGAGACACCTTGGTGAACTCCCTGGGAATATACTTGAGGTCCCAGAAGAGCCATGTTTATGAGAAAGTACAGTTTTCTATATGTAAATTTAAAGCCAAAATTTCTCATCTTTTTTTTTTTTTCTTTTTGAGATGGATGGAGTCTTGGTCTGTTGTCCAGGCTGGAGTGCAGTGGTGCAATCTTGGCACGCTGCAACCTGCACCTCTCAGGTTCAAGCAATTCTCCCACCTCAGCTTCCTGAGTAGCTGGGATTACAGGTGCCTCCCACCATGCCAGGCTAATTTTTGTATTTTTAGTAGAGACGGGGTTTCACCATGTTGGCCAGGCTGGTCTTGAACTCCTGATCTCAGGTGATCCACCCACCTTGGCCTCTCAAATTGCTGGGATTACAGTTGTGAGCCACCACACCTAGCCTCTCATCTTTAGTAAAGTCTAAAACCAAGACATGACAGGTCAAGTTGACTCACTGGCAATCTAACTGCCAGCCAGAAAAAAAACTTGACAATAATTATAGGAAGATGACATAATACAGAACATCCATAATGTCCCACCTACAATATCCAACAATCAATTAAAAGTACTATATATGTGCAAAGAAGCAGCAAACAGTAATTAATAATCAAAAGACAAAATGGTCAATAGAAACAGGCTTAGTGATGATCCCATTACTGGCTGTGTGACTTTGGAAAGCTCTGAGCTTCAAGTTTCAACATAGAAAATACAGTTAAACGAGACTAAATCCTATAGATTTGCTGTAAGAATTAAATTCATTAATTGTATGTGGAAGTGAATTATCATGATGAAGTTTCCTATTATATGATTGCCACTAAGGAACCACACAGGAAGCAATAAAAAGGAAGAACAGATTCTGGTCTGACAGCAACTTATTTTAAAAATAACTCAGTTTTAGTTGTCATTTATTTTAAGAGAGACAATATAGTTTATTAATTAAGGGTCTTATAGTCAGAAAGAACTAGCTGTGAGCAGATTTCTGAATCTCTCTGACCATCACTTTTCTCAAATATAATTGAGAATTATAATGGTACCTGTCTTGAGGGTGTTGAGAGACTACTAGAGAGTAGAAGACATACAAGAGGTTAGCATAGTTCCTGAATAACTGAAGCCAGCAATGTGTAGACTGCTAACAGAAAGTTCAAGTGTTAAGAATCTAGACTGATAGAATTATAATGTTCCAATGACAAGCAGTAGTAAACCCCAATGAAATTCTGAAAGTAGATGACATATTTAAAAATGTACACCGACAAGCTTTTCTGACTAGGCAATAGGAGTAGTTGAAATAACTGGAGATGGTGACATTCGAAAATGAAGAATACAGGATGAGAAACATTTGGGAAACTTTTAGGTTGAAGAGGGATCAGATTTATTCTGTGCTGCTCTAAACACAGGTCTGGGACTGGTGCAAAACACTGTGGGGAGGCAGCTTTCATCTTAGTATTAGGAAGGACTTTTAAACAATTAGAGGAATCCAGTGATAACATGGTTTGATTTAAGAAGTAGTAATTGCCCTGTCTCCAGAAACTTTTAAGCAGATGTTGATTGATTCCTGCTCAGGGTCATTATGGAGGAAATTCCTGCACTGGGTAGGATGTTGGACTAGGTGGCCCCTATGTCCCTTCCAGCATATAAATATGTGGATATTCCATATATGGACTGTTTTTTCAGTTGTACTCAGTAGCTTTTTCTCCATGTGGATTAAATGGATATCAGTTCCTCATTATTTTGAGGTGAGTCAAAGGAAAATAGCATGTACAACAGCACAGCAGCCCAAACAGTTTATCATGCATCTTAAAAACACAAGTCAGTGAAGTAGGCAGTTTCAAAGGGGACCATATCATTGCCAGAGTGCTCCCAAGAAGCCAGCTGCTCCTGGAAAAATACATTACATTTCCCAGTTTGGCACCTGAGCCTTGCGATTGCTGTCCAAGGAGGTGAAGAAGAATGGGTTTATAGGCAGCCATAAATAACTAAGACACTGAAATTCTGAAAATGGGTCAATTTCTTCCCTATGATTCAAGACCCAAATGGGAGTGAGCTACTGTTCCAGCCTGAAAGGAAGAGAGCTTTAACTACCCATTTTCGAAAATCAAATGAAAGTAACTAAGAACTCTATTATTCAATCAAGTGTTCTGCAAAATTCTTCACAGTAAATCTTGAGTAGGTTTTTATCTTAAAGATATGGAGAGGAAGAAATAGAGATGCTTTGCGTGGGATTTCCAGGAATGTCAGTCAGCAAGAGGGACCATGCAGGCTATTTAGCCATGTCTGTATAGTCTGATGTTACATTTATGTTCCTCCCAAGGACAATGCAACATATGTGTGGAACTTGTTTGGAAACCTGCTCTTTTGGACAAAGAAATATCCATGACTCAGCCCCCTAAAACTCTTCCAGAATTTTGACATTCTAAAAATGCATCTTGTCCTCCATGTGGAATTTTGTCCTTCCTAAATTCATTCACTAAGTAATCTTTCATTGTGCCTACTATATTCTAGGTACTTTTATTAAGTGTTTAGTATTCAAAAATAAATAAGACCCCATCCCTGGCCTTTACAGATGCAAAAAGCAGTGCTCATCTCCAGTGGTCTTTTTTTTAAGTCCTATGATTAAATTTTAAAAAAATATATGACATACATACATACAACAAAAAGTTTGTTAAAGATAACACAGAGACCAATATATTTTTTTTTTTGAAATGGAGTCTGGCTCTGTCACCCAGGCTGGAGTGTAATGATGGGATCTCAGCTTACTGCAACTTCTGCCTCCTGGGTTCAAGTGATTCTCCTGCCTCAGGCTTCTGAGTGACTGGGATTACAGGCACACACCACCATGCCTGGCTAATTTTTGTATTTTTAGTATAGACAGAGTTTCACCATGTTGGTTAGACTGGTCTCAAACTCCTGACCTCGTGATCCACCTGCCTCAGCCTCCCAAAGTGCTGGGATTACAGGCGCGAGCCACCGTACCCGGCCAAGACCAATATGTTTTAAAATAACTCACAGCAGGATAATGTTTTCCTCCGTCTTCTCAAGGTAGATTGGAGCATCTATTCCAAAGAGCCATTCTTCCTCCCCTTCTGTGCCCATTTTCAGTCCTTAGATACTATTTTATAGACCTTCTGAATGCTATATCAAAATAAAGATAGGCTGAACTTTCTCCTTGCTTCAGGAAAATAACTCAGTCAGCCCAGCCACGCACCCGATATTCCTTCAAAATCCAGATAACAGAATTTAAGATTTTTAAATTCTTAAGCTATCACCTCCAAACTATCTTTGTTATAATCTGCAGGTGCTTGGAGAAAATTATTACTTAATGCAGAAGATACATGTAAACAGCAAAGAAAGAAATGATTAGTGGCACATATTCCATTTTCTTTAAGAACATGGTTTTTAAACATCCTATTTCCGTATAGAGAATTTGAAAATGCTACATATTGCCTGACCTCTCCATCAGAAATTGAGTCATTTGATATGGCAAGATCCTGTATGACTCTGCATATTTTCTCACTGTACCTGTATGTCTCCAGATTATTCTGATGTTTGTTCATCTGGTTTAGGAGCTATTTCTTTTCTTTTCTTTCTTTCTTTTCTTTTCTTTTTTTTTTTTTTGAGATGGAGTCTTGCTCTGTTGCCCAGGCTGGAATGCAGTGGTGCAATCTCAGCTCACTGCAACCTCCACCTCCCAGGTTCAAGTGATTCTCCTGCCTCAGCCTCCCAAGTATCTGGGATTACAGGCGCCCAATACCATGCCTGGCTAATTTTGGTATTTTTAGTAGAGTCGGGGTTTCACCATGTTGGCCAGGCTGGTTTCGAACTCCTGACCTCAGATGATCCACCAGCCTTGGCCTCCCAAAGTGCTGGGATTACAGGTGTGAGCCACGGTGCCTGGCCAGGAGCCATTTCTTAAGGCAGTGTTTATTAACCCTGGGTGCAAGTTAGAATGACATGGGAACTATTAGAAATTGTGACATCTAGGCTGCACCTCAAACTCCTTTGTGTACTGAACATTGCTGTATCCTTGCTACAATGGAACTGAGTATTATGACAGGGACCTTCTGGCATGTAAGGCCAAAGATACTTATTATCTGGCCTTTTACAGAAAATTTGTTGATCACTGATCAAGAAACCATAATAGTGAATCAAACCAAGGATGAATAGCTTTCTAAAACTACATATGTGTCTCTAATTTACCAAATCACGCACTCCACAATTCATAACTTATGGTGGGCAATTGTGGGGGGGCAGCAGGAAAAACTGTCTTCACCATTTTTCACTATTTGGTCTCTATAAGAAATCATTACCTGCCCCCTTCTGCCCTTTAAAAATCAGTAACTTGCAAAGGAATTGAGAAATTTTAAAAGTCTATAAGGTCAAACACAGCTCTCTTTCATTGAAAGGGATTAAAGAGCATAAAGTTACAGTTAAGAGGAGTAAAATTAGGGATCTATTGCACAGGATGGTAACCATTGTTAATAATAATGCAATGTATATTTCAAAATTAATGAAATAGTAGATATTAAAGATCATTCAAAAAGATAAGTAGGTGGGCTGATGGATATATTAATTAGATTTATTTAATCTTTTGATAATGTATACATATATCAAAATATCACATTGTACCCCATAGATGTATACAGCTATTTTTAGTCAATTAAACATTTAATAAAAATTTTAAGAGCTAGACTGCCCTATAGTACTGAGTATTTGAAATAATCTTTTGATTGCCTGTTTAGCATCACTGTTATCTGAAGCTGTTCTTTGCTTTTTGAATGTGCTAAGCTCTTTTCATACATTGGTTAAATATTATTGTAAGAAATATAATTTTTGAGTAGGTATTAAAACTGGAATCCCTTCTCGCAATTATAAGGGGAAAATCCATAGCAACAAAATAGCCTAAGTCTTTGTCTGTTAATTAAATGTAAGTTAATGGCTGTTTAGGAAAACAAAAAATGCCACCTGGGATAGAAAATTTAATTAGCTCCAAAAGAACATAAGTCAAAGACTTCTGCATTAGTTTTCTGTTGCTGCTGTCACAAATTACCACGAAGTTAGTGGCTTAAAACAACACAAAATTTATTACCGCATGGTTCTGCAGTCAGAGTCTGACATGGGTCTTACTAGGCTCAACTCAGGGTGTTGACAGGGCGGCATTTCCTTCTGGAAGCTATAGGGCAGGACCTGCTTCCTTGCCTTTTCAGCTTCTAGAAACAGTCTGCATGGCTTGATTCACAGACCCCTTCCTCCACCTTCAAAGAGCTCCTCATGTGACAATCACTGTGACCTTCCTTTCTGACTCTTTTCTACTTTTACAGACCCTTATGATTATGTTAGGCTTGCCCAGAGAATCCAGGATAATCTATTTTAAGATCAGCTGACTTGCCACCTTCAATCCATTTGCAACCTTAATTTCCGTTTGCCATGTAGTATGTATCCTACATATGTTACGATGTGTAGTATACTCACAGGTTTCAGGGATTAGGATATAAGCATCTTTGAGGGCCATTATTCTGACATCCACAAGTCCAATTGTAGTATTGGTCTGGGAGGGAATGAGTGGGTGTACCCCATCTGAAGACCATTCTCCTTTTTCTAAGAAATTCCCCATTGTCTGAATCTGGGTAAAAACCAGAACCCCAGTTCCCTTTCTAGAAACGCCACTCCTCTCACCCTTGACAGCTAGAGCACAAGCCAACCAGCTGCACCCACCCTGGACTTTGAATCTTGGCAGAGCACTTTAATTTTATGGGGATAAACATTATTCATGGTGACAGTGGTAATAGTTGCTGTGAGAATTGTGAGGTGTGTGGCAAAGGCAGCAGCACCAGGACTTTAGATGTGATGGGCTTTAGCATTTAATGGCGGCAGTACCAGAAGTGTGGTACCACCAAAAGTCACCTAACGAGAATGTTCTCGGGGTGACTGTGCCCATGCTTCTTCCACCTTGGGCAATACTCATATTTCTTGCCTACATTGATTGTCAGTCATTTTTGGCACCTGGTTCTCTAAGCTGTGAACTACCCATATCCCTGTAATTCATTTCTTTTCTTCTTAAATTGACCATAATCAGGTTCTGTGGATTGTAACCAAGAATCTTTATTGTAACCAAGAATATTCTTTTGAGTAAGATCCTTCAGGAAATTTTTATTTTCAATGGCTTGCTCTCTGTAAGAAAGCCTGATTTATAAATTAGGAAACTTGGAGTAAAGAACAAGTTGTCAGAATACTGGCACAGCTTCATTGGTCAAGTAGGAGCTAAGACAGCTGATAATCTGGTAGGAATGCCCTTTATGCAGATGACAGGGGAATCAATATAGAAGTCTTAGAACAATGGTAGAACTAGGCTTTGGTTGGGCAATCTTGATAACTGAGAAGGTAAATTTAGAATGTGAAATACAGCAGCAGAAGACTAGGGGAGAAAGATTACTTTTTTTAAAAAAATTATACTTTAAGTTCTGGGATACATGTGCAGAACATGCAGATTTGTTACATAGGTGTACATATGCCATGGTGGTTTGCTGCACCCATCAACCCTTCATCTACATTAGGTATTTCTCCTAATGCTATCCCTCCCCTAGCCCCCCATCCCCCGACAGGCCCAGGTGTGTGATGTTCCCCTCCCTGTATCCATGTGTTCTCATTGTTCAACTCCCACTTATGAGTGAGAACATGCAGTGTTTGGTTTTCTGTTCCTGGGTTAGTTTGCTGAGAATGATGGTTTCCAGCTTCATCCATGTCCCTGCAAAGGACATGAACTCATTTTTTTTTGGTATGGCTGCATAGTATTCCACAGTGTATATGTGCCACATTTTCTTTATCCAGTCTATCATTGATGGGCATTTGGGTTGGTTCCAAGTCTTTGCTGTTGTGAACAGTGCCGTAGTAAACATATGTGTGCATGTGTCTTTATAGTAGAGTGATTTATATTCCTTTGGGTATATACCCAGTAATGGGATTGCTGGGTCAAATGGTATTTCTGGTTCTAGATCCTTGAGGAATCACCACACTGTCTTCCACAATGGTTGAACTAATTTACACTCCCACCAACAGTGTAAAAGTGTTCCTGTTTCTCCACATCCTCTCTAGCATCTGTTGTTTCCTGACTTTTTAATGATCGCCATTCTAACTGGCATTAGATGATATCTCATTGTGGTTTTGATTTGCATTTCTCTATTGACCAGTGATGATGAGCTTTTTTTCATATGATTGTTGGCCGCATAAATGTCTTCTTTTGAGAAGTGTCTGTTCATAACCTTTGCCCACTTTTTGAGGTGGTTGGTTGTTTTTTTCTTGTAAATTTGTTAATATTCCTTGTAGATTATGTATATTAGCCCTTTGTCAGATGAGTAGGTTGCAAAAACTTTCTCCCATTCTGTAGGTTGCCTGTTCACTCTGATGCTAGTTTCTTTTGCTGTGCAGAAGCTCTTTAGTTTAATTAGATCCCATTTGTCAGTTTTGGCTTTTGTTGCCATTGCTTTTGGTGTTTTAGTCATGAAGTCTTTGCCCATGCCTATGTCTTGAACGGTATTGTCTAGTTATTATCTCACCCTAGATAATCAAGTCAGTCATAGGAAAGAAGCTGCATTTGGAAGCACAATAAGCAGAATTCAGCTACTTAGAGAAGGTGGCAAGCAGGCTTGAGATCACAACATTGCTCCAGTGCCAAAAGCAATTCAGGGGTTTCAAGGAAACCAGGGGACCAGACCCATCTCATTGCCTGAGCCAGCAGATTGGAAATGAAGAAGTTTGGGGGCACAGAAGAATCACTCACAGTCAAATAGATGCTGAGTAGATGCCAGATATATTAATTCTACTCCATTGGTAAACTGATGTTTGTACTCTAATTTTTGCAATCACTTTGAAATTGAGCTAAGTTGAGCCCCAGGTAGAAGGAGTCTTCTCTTTCATTTGGCCAGGGTTTGAGATGAAAGTGACTGATGTGCACCTTGCTTAATCAATATCTTGATAGTATTCTCATATGAAGATAATAGAAGCTGGGCAAAATGTTCTCAGTAGACTAGGAAACAAATCCTTTTAGCATGCAAGTTTTGTCCTCTTTTTGGAACACCATGCCAGGCCTGTCTTAGTACTTGAATACTCTTGGATTCAAGCAGGTTGAAGGCATTCTGAAAATATTCTGAATCTCACACACAGAGTTAATGTCAGATTTAGACAACAACAAGATAAAATGTATTGATATTAGGAGGGCAACAAAAAAGGACACTTAGATAACTGCAGCAGAGAAGCTATTAGTTTAGTAAACAAATTGGCTTTCAGTGGTGATTACGTCATAGCTCAACTTGAGTCTGATATAGTCGCATGGATAATAACATCGTAGCAGAAGATTCGTGTAACACTGGTGCATAATTTACTAGATCTTGACAGTGACTAGAGACCCACAAAACTCTCATTCCTCCCATGTATTCCTCAACCTCTACAAAGCAATGTTATTTTTTTCTGACCCCGTGGGATTCTCTGCCTTCTTTAGCATGGGTTTTCCCTGGTTGTGTTTTCAGGATACTCTGAAGGACGCGAACAATCGCATTATAACAGAAAGGACACAATCTTCATTCATGTTCCCATTAGGTTAAATGCACCTCAATTATGTTTCTTGTCCTCCTGTTGTTTGTTGTTATTACCCTTCCTGTATTTGTTCCCAGACACCTTAAAAACATGAGTCAGAATCACTTTTTAGGTGTTGGGAAGGTGGGTAAGAGGAAGGAGAGTTGGTAAGAGGGCACGGAGAATTCTGCCTTGTTTCCTGTGCTGCATTGATCAGACTTAAATGTTATCCCAGGATTTGTGCGTTAAATCTGTGGCAGTTGTATTTTCATTTGTGTATTTAATTGCTTCATGCATATGCATAATCTCCGGGAACACTATATTGTGATAACTCACTTTGAATGTCAAAGGACTTTTTAAAAGCCCTCAGTATCCCACCCTTTTGCTTAAGATGATTCCTTGGAAGTAGATTTATTATTTATACAATGAAAAAAAGATCAAAAAATTATTATTTACTAGGAATATATATGTGTCTTCTCCTAGTGGGTATGAGTGAGTGTGTGTGTGCATGTGCAAACATACACAGTGTTTACAGTGTATTAGCCAACCATGCAGCAACAGCCCTAATGATATGGAATTTTACAAGGAAGGTTATTTAATCTAGATTTTTACCATTATCTTGACTGGGAGCAGCAAACTTTTCCTGTAAAGGCCAGGTGGTAAATATTTTTGCTTTGTGGACCACATGCTGTCTGTGGCATGTAGTATAAAAGAAGTCATAGACAATAGGTAAATGAATGTATGTGTGTATGTTACAATAAAACTTTTTTTATTTTTTTTTCTTTATTTATTTTTTTTGCAAACACAGGTGCTTGGCCACGTTTGGACCACAACCTCTAGTTTCCCAACTGCAGAGCTTGATTCTTATACTCAGTTAGGGGTGTGACTCTCCAGGCATATACATGTAATAATTGGCAGAAGTTTTCTTTAAAATGAAGCTTTATTAAAAAAACAACAATAAGAAAAGGAAAAGCAAAATAACAGGTGGTTTTCAATTCACTGAAACCATCCTCTATGATAAGAATCACACATATTTATTAAAAATACATGACAAGGTACATAGAGCTGATTTCAGAATCTGTTTCCTTCTTTAAGTGACTGGAGCCAGCTCTTGAGCTGGGTGATAAAGAGTAGCTCTGGGACATTCAAGCTGTGTGACCCACATGCTTTGGAGAGCACAGTTTCTGGCATCAAGATAATTCTCATTGACCACAGATGCTTCTTAATATTTGCCGATTTATTGCTGAAACAAGTGCAGCAGATTAACATTATAGGACTGTGGTCTTTGGGAATACTCTCGTCTCTCTATTGGATCAGTGTTTATTTTCAGTGTTTATTTGTATTCTGAAGGTGAGTTGGATGGATATAGCAACTTTAGTTGGCAAATCTACTTTTTTCTTGAAAACAGAATTGAAAATAAAATCCTGTTATACAGAAACATTACATACCATGTCTAAGAGTATTAAACACTTCCCAAACCACACTCTCTCAGACACAAGTGGGAGCTTGGGAAGCTAATTTTAGTTACTGAATGTCCAGTATGTGTTATATCTCCTTTCCTAAGGACCCCTCAAGAAGAGAGAAGACCATCTAAGCCTTACTAATCAAAGGATGACCCATGGACCAGCAGCATCTACAGCATCAGGTAGCCTATTAGAAATGACAAATCTGAACAGGCTTCTCAAGGTTATTCATGTGCTCATTAAAACTTAAGAGGCACTGGTCTAAATAATGTATATTTCCAGTCATCTTACATCAGTTGTATATATGGCATGGTATAAATAATAACTGAATGAAGAAAAAGATGAATGAATGAATATTTAATGATTAAATGGACTAATGCTTCAATGGATATAGATGATTAAATGAGTGAATGAATAAATAATTTTTCCTGAAATATGTAATCAAGTTTATAAAGTGTCTTGATAGTTTTATGAAGATGAAATGAAGTGAGTTATGCGAAACATTAGTAAACTATAAAGACTTACACAAATGTGCAGTGCCACATTAATAGTACAGATCATCTCATGACACATTAGTAATAACACAAAGAAGCCAGCAATAAATTTGCAGAGAGATGCTTCAATACTTGTATTCATTTATTTCGTGGGTAGCTTAAAATTCTTAGCCTTTATTGGTAAGAAGCATGGGAAAGTGTTCTTGAAGGACATTGGTTGGCGACTACACAAGTTATTGTGTGTAAGAACACTTCCAACTATTGTTCCTTCTGTGTGAATTGAAGAATGTTTTCCTGTGAGCACACTCTTTCTCTCACACACACACCCCACACATACACACACTCCAACAAATCTACGCAACTGTCAGTCTCTCCTTCATCTTGGTGTGTAGAAACATGGTATTTCCACCTTGGTGTACAACAGAAAAATCTTGGCTTAACAGTGTAATGGATTGAAAAATTTCAGTTTGAACAGATGACATTTTCAGTCCTTTGGGATGAAAAACACACATTGTTCAGTTCTGAAATACCGTAATCTTCCAAAACAGATTGTTCCTTCTGATATGAGTGGCATAAAGGCTGATCCTAGGCAAAGTTTAGTTCAGAGATATAGATAAAACTGCATTAACTCTATATTAAAGATACACAACTAATTTTTATAGGTTTGGGGACCCATAGACTAAGGGACAGACAGAGTGGCAAATAATTAACTGACTTACCTAGCAGTGAAGAAGAACTAGGACATTCCAAAACTTACCTTGATTGCACACATCACATGTATAATAGGGAGCATACATTCAAGGTGTTTGTTTTAACTTCAGCACTTGTTTAGATTTTATACAGACTAATAAAGGACCAAAAACAGTTCATCTCTAATACATTAACAGTTGACTGAATAGGGAAACAAGATTCAGAATGAAGTGAAATAATTCATATGAACAAGTTTTCCAGATAATTTATATGCAGAAGAAAATTCAGTAGTTTAGAAGCAGTAACTCAAAACAAGGCTAAATATTGATAAGGGCCAAGAATGGAGCCAAAGGCTATATTTCAGTTTGAAACTAAACTCACATATCTAAAATATGAATATATTTATATATAACACACATTAAAGAACACATTTTAAATGATGGTTTTGTTTTTATATTTCTGGGAAAATATTTGATTTTTTAAGCACAAATTTATTAGGTTAAGTTTAACAAATTGTTTAGCCTTTTAAAATTACATTAAGTGCCATAAAAATTTTAAACTAGACCAAATTAATAAACCATTCAAGCTAGAAGACAGAAAAGTCATAAATATGATAAGCAATGTTAGACATCAAAATTATTCAAAGCTAAAAATAAGTGATATTTTGTCCCTATCAACAAAATTTAAAATTGATCCTTGATCAATGCTAAAGATATGAAAAAGCTGAAAAAGTTATTGAATGTCATTGACACTGTAGATTGATACAACCCTTTAAATTGCATTTCAAAAAATAACAACCTGTTTCTGGAAGTTCTCCTAAGATAAGAAAAAAATTATAGAAAGTAGCTTAATACAACATTATATGTAGTTAGAGTCAGAAGAAGCAAAATTCCTCACATTAGAATCACATAAATCTAATATAATATTGCAAAACTATTGAAATAATTATAATGTACCCCGCATGACAATATGAAAATGCTTAAACGTTAAAAAGATTTAAAAATAAAGTAGAATCAATGAAGATTAAATATTCAGAATAAGTACAACAAAAAATGTGCAAAACCCATGTGAGAAAATATTTTAAACACTATTGAAGAACGTAAGAGTAGACTTAAACAAATGCAAAAGCATTTGCTTGGGAAAATTCAACATTACAAGTTTTTGTAATTACATTGCAAACATTTGCTTGGGAAAATTCAACATATTACAGGTATGTCAGAACTTCCTAAATTAATTTATAAATCCTATAAATTTAGCAAGTTATGTATAGAGTTAGATAAGCTGAAAATAGTTTATTTAGATTAAAAAATGCAAAAATATCCAGGAAAATATACACAAAATTGGGAAAAAATGACTAGGTGAATTAGCTACAATCAGATGTAAAGTTGCCTTAATTAAAAATTGTGGTATCAGTACATGAACAGGCAAATAGACCAGTGGGAAAGAACAGAAAGTTCAGAAACAGACTGAATACATATGGAAATTTAATAAATGATAAAGGTAGCCTCTCAAATCTCTGTGGTGAAGAAAGTCTTTTTTTTTTTAATTGTGCTGGCGTAAGTGGATAACCATTTTGATTGAATTAATAAAACTGCATTTATGTTTCATACCGTATATAAGAATAAAACAAGGATATAAATGTAAAAAACAAAACAAAACTGTTTAATTTATATATGATAATATGGATGAGTTCCTTCTTGACCTTGGTATAAAAGAAGACTTTCTGTGAATCAAAATCAAAATGCAGTAAAAGAAAGATTGATAAATTTCCCTACATAAAAATGAAAAATTTGCATGCCAAAAACCACTGAAAGCAAAGTCAAAAAAGACAATTTGTAAACAGGGAGAAAATAATTGCAACATATATCTAAGACAAATGGCTAATATTCTTTGTATTAAAAATTCTGAAAAATTGAGGAACAAATATTTTAGGGGCAAATGACCTGATATAGGAAAAAGATATGAAATAACAATTTCAAAAATAATATTTAAAATGGGCATCCAACATTCAAGAGAATATTAAAATTTGCTGATAATTAGAGAAGTATAAGTTAAAACAGGGATATCATTTTTATCTATTGGACTATCTGACATTAAAATAGTGTCACATACAATATATGATCCAATAATCACGCTCCTTGGTATTTTCCCAAAGGAGATGAAAACATGTTCACACAAAATCCTATACACAATGTGTGTAGCAACTTGGAAGTAATCAAGATATCCTTCAGTAGGTGAATGGATAAACTGTGGTGCACCAAGACAAGGGAATAATATTCAGTGCTAAAAACTCTCATTAATGCATTTATGGAGGAAACATAAATGCATATTACTAAGTGGAAGAAGCCAATCTTCAAAGGCTATCCACTGTATGATCCCAACTACGTGACATTCTTGAAAGGACAAAACTATAAAGAGAGTAAAAATATCAGTGGTTGACAGGGGTTTTGGGGAGGGAAGGATGAATAGGCAGAGAACAGGGGATGTTTAGGGCAGTGAAACTTCTGTGTCATACCATAATGGTGGATACATACCCTTGTATGTTTGTCCAAACCCATATACAAAACTAAAAGTGAACCCTAATGTCAACTACGGGCTTTGGGTGATAATGATGTATTAATGTAGGTTCATCAGTTGTAACAAATGTATCACTAGGGTGGGGGATGATGATCAAGGGAGAGGCTATTCGTCTATAAGGCAGAGGTTATATGGGGCAGGGGTTCCCAACCCCTGGGCCACAGACAGGTCTAGTCTGTGACCTGTTAGGAACTGGGCTGCACAGCAGGAAGTGAGCAGTGGGCCAGCAAGCATTATCGCCTGAGCTCCACCTCCTATCGGTTCCTCGGCAGCAATAGATTCTCATAGAAATGCAAACTTTATTGTGAACTGCACATGCGGGGGATCTAAGTTACATGCTCCTTACAAGAATCTAATGCCTGACGATCTGAAGGTGGAACAGTTTTATCCCTAAACCGTCCACCCCCGTGGAAAAATTGCCTTCCAGGAAACTGGTCCCTGGTGCCAAAAAGGTTGGGGACCACTGATACAGGAAATTTCTGAACTGTCTGTCCAATTTTGCTGTGAACCCATAACTGCTCTGTGAGAGAGGCTATGAGGAAATTGGCATTGCCATGCTTTGCTGACAAATATGCAACTTTGCACAATCACTCTGAAAGCAAATTTAGCACTATCTAATAAAACTACATATGCACTTGTCTTTTGACTCAACAATTCCGATTCTGGGGTATATCTTCCTACCCTGAAGATACACCTTTAGGAACCGACCCTGAAAAATGCATATATCCAAGGTTATTCCTTGCAGCATTGTTTGATTGCAAAATATTGCAAAAACCTATATGTCCATACCCAGAAAAATGATTGAATAAATTACAGTATATCCACTTAATCAAGGGCAATGAAGCTATTTAAAAAAATGTGCAGAATCTCTGTGGACTAATGGGGGGAATGATTTCCAAATAGACTGATAAGGAAAAAATACATAAACTATTACCTTGCATATGCTACTGTTTTTGTAACGAAGAAAATCGAAAAAACTACACGTGAATCTACTCATTTACACAACAGAGAATATAGAAAAAATAAACCAGAAATTAAAAAGTTGGTACATAAAGAGGGGTCATTGAAAGTAATAGAAAAAAGTGATAAGTGAGTATGGGGTAGTAGAGAGGAGGAGGTAGTAGCACAACTTTGTGTGTATTCTTTTGTAGAGCTCTGGCTCTTAGAATTACAGTAATATGTCACATATCTCCCAATTATGTATTTATTAAAATCAACCACAATATAGAGCAAGAACCTAGAAATGCAATAAAACAGTACCAAATGAGTCTGACTATATTACAAATACAGTCCACACTGGGGAAATGGAGAAGACAATAACTGACATAAATAACTTTAGAAACAATGTTTTGACTGGATTCTGTAAGTCAAGAGATAAACAGATCTATAAACAAATGCTCTATATTTCTCACAGAAGTGTGGGTTAGCATTTCTATAACAACTTTAAGTGTACATCATAGTCAAATAACAAATATGCACACATAACACATCTGCACAAACATAAATATATGTGCATAGATACACATATGTACACACAAATACAGATGTGTTTGTGTGTGTGTGTGCATGTGTGGGTTGGCATACACACATACATTTCATAGCTCTGCTGAGAGGCCTGGGAGCAATGAAACTCCAGGAACAATGAGCACAACTAGCATCCAGATTTTGGTCCCTAAACACCATTCTTCTGTCAAAGGAACCAGGGCTCAATGCAGAAGTGGTTGATTCCAGGGATTGGGCCAGGAAAGTACAAGATGAGCTGGAACAACTTGCAATGCCATAATAAGGGAGTTTTTGGAAAATGATGAGACATTTGCAAAGGACATAGGAGCCAACTTGAAGGGAATTCTAATGGCCAAATATGGAACAACAATCTGAGCAACAAAACAACTAATAGTATTGGACCATAAGCCACAGGACAGAATAAATATCCATGAGCCCATACTAATCTGAATAACTGAACAAGTAAAGAAATTGCAGAAAGGAGTCTGTTGTTTGTCACGGAAAAATTCTATTGATACATATAAAAAGAGGAAAAGCAAAAAATTACCACTGGACAAACACCATAGTTATTGTTGCAGACAAGACCAATCTACGAATCCTAAAATTGTTGAGCACATTTTTGAGAACTGAATATTTACATGGCCTCAAAGTATCTTCCTCAGATTATTTATTATCTTGCCTAAGGTACAACGGGAAAATAGTAACTTTATGGTGGATGAACCCAGCAGATAACACCTTAACGAAGAGATCAGGTTAACATCACCCAGTAAGACATAGTATCACAAATCCCATGATATGATGCACTGAGAAGGACACAACTTTACTTCTGCCAAAAGTGTATAGCCTTATTCCAAGCATGAAAAGCTTCAGACAACTCATAATTAGAGACATTCTACAAAATAAATGCCCAGTAGTCGTCAAGTGTGTCAGGATGACAAAAGACAAGAAAAGATGAAGCACTGTTACAGCTGGAAGTAATGAAGGAGCCGTATGATGTGGGATTCTGAGTTAGAGTATTGTACTGATAGTATTACACTTGGTTTTGATCATTTTAATATGATTATGTAAGAAGCTCAAATTAGGGGATGCTGAGTGAAGGGTTATGGGAAGATTTGGTATTAATTTTACAACTTTTCTAAAAGTCTGAAATTAGATCATAGTCAAAAGTTAAAAATGAATCCATACTATGATTTATCATATCTACAGCTAACTAAATAATTGGTGTTTAACATTTGGATAAAAATTTTAAAAGAACATAGAAGAGTCAAAACAGGTATTAGAATGACGGATATTCAAAAAATACACATAAAAACATACACATGTACATACATGTGTGTGTGTGTGTGTGTGTATCTGTGGTTCTGGAAATGGCTAGGTCATGTTAATCACTGCTACTAATATTTTTTTTGGTAAAGGATAGGAACATCTGAAGGTTAAAACCCAGTGAGGATTTTGGAAATGAGAGTTTGTAATTCACAGAATCACAGTATCAGAGACTTCAAGTTTGTCAGGAACCTTAGAACAGCTTTGCCTGATATAATAAGATTTTACATGAATAATTAAACACTAACCATTTGCCCTGGATCTCCTTTAATCTCCCATCTGCTGCCCTCATTTTAAGAACCATCTGACTCACTCTCTACCTTCATTTTCTGAAATGTGTTTTATGCACTCTTTATCTAAACCATCTCTCTAAGATGCTTCTCATTCTTCTTTCAGCTTCTTCCAACCTACTGTTGTCATCAGAGAGCAGCTCACTTTCAACTTAGTACTAGGTTAACACCTAAAATCTATTTTTGGCCTAGAACTAAAAATAGATTTTAGGTGTCAACTTAGTACTATGTGCATTTTTATGGAGAATCCTCTGTTAGCCTCAGGTGATCGCTAGTGGTGGAATGGCAGTTGCTGTAATATTTGGTTGATGTAAATTTCTGAGGGGAGAGCTAATTATTGCATATTAGCCCCAAGAGCACATACCTCCATAATAAAAGACATATATTTGCTTTTTATTGGAAATCTAATTTTTCGGCAGAGAGAGGAGCAATGGAATGATATTTTCTTTAGAAAAAGTGAAGCCTGAGGCATTAAAGTTCATAGTTTATAAAATCAGAATTTTTTTTTTTTTGGGGCAGAGTTTTGCTCTTATCTCCTAGGCTGGAGTGCAGTGGTACGATCTCAGCTCACTGCAACCTCCGCCTCCTGGGTTCAAGTGATTCTCCTGCTTCAGCCTCCTGAGTAGCTGGGATTAATGGCATGTACCACCACGCCTGGCTAATTTTGTATTTTTAGTAGAGACCCAGTTTCACCATGTTGGCCTGGGTGGTCTCGAACTCCTGACCTCAAGTGATCTGCCTGCCTCGGACTCCCAAAGTGCTGGGATTATAGGCATGAGCCACTGTGTCCAGCCCTAAAATCAGAAAAATTTCTAAGAAAGCAAAACAAAACATCAATTTCTATTTGCTTCCTCAGAAGTAGCCAGTGCTTTTATTTTATCCTGGTAAAAAGAGTTAAGCATATTTAAGTGAAAGAGGAGAGTGGGTTCTTATAGCTCCTTCACCCACACCACACATCCCACCCACTCTCCTCCCCAAATGCTTAGGTAATGCTGCGTGTGTAAGTTTGATAAGTTGTATCTATTTCTGTAGATAGTTCTGGGCCATTTTATATTAGATGTTGCTGACACTTGGCTACCTAGCTTGTTTGAGAATTATTTCACTGTCTGGGATAAACAGAAAGAAGGCCTGATCCTCTGTTGCCTATGATTTGTGTCATTAAATATCAGTGCTTCTGTTCGTTGCCAAACCATATTCCCAAGATGGCATGGCATTCCTTTCTTTGGTCAACATTCAAACCTTACCAGCTTCTTTGACATTCCTGTGCTACAGTAAAAGTATTCTTGCCTCAGGCCTTTTTCACTTGCCATTTCTTCTGCCAGAAATGATCAGCTTGCTCTTCCTATAACCAGTCCATTTCTCATGTTTCAAGTTTAGTACAAATATTATTTATTCAGACAGGCTCTCTTTACATGACACTCTAAAGTAGCCCCTCCCTCCACTGCATCATTAGAAGTGGTTTTCTATTACAAAACGTATGTTTTTTTCAAGGTGCTTATCACATTCCAGAATTACCTATTTACTTTTTAGTTTTTGGGGTTAGTCTCCCCATGAAAAAGTAAGCTTCATAGGATGGGGATCATGTCTGTTTTCTCTGTGCAAACAGCAACACTGAAGTTGAAACTATTACCATTTTACAGTTGAGATTTACAATTCTACAGTTGAGAAAAATGTTTTAGAGGCTAGAGGCTGTGCCCAGATTATACAGCTAGTGACTGGTGGAGCCAGAACTCAAACACAAGCAGAGAGAATGGAGCCCTTGGCCACTTTATTAAGCTTTAAGGTTTAAATAAAATTAAGGACATAAATACTGACAGAACGTGATACACAGCACGTAATAAATGACTGTGGTTATTAGTTTGATCTCGTCTTCAAAATCACCCAAGGAAACAAAAGTATACTTCATTGCCATTTAACAAATGAAAGAACAGTTTTCATTCAAAGAGGTTAAGAGATAAGCCCAAGAAAGTGGTGCCGTTTTGGTGACCAACTCATCCTGATTTGCTTAGAATTTTCCAGGTTTTAGCACTGAAAATTTTTTTCCAGGAAATTTTAATCTCTGGGGTCTCAGTCCATTTTGACTACTGTATTAAAATACCTTTGACTGAGAAATTTTAATACCAGAAAGTATTGCTCACAATTCTGGAAGCTGGGAAGTCCAGGGTCTAGGCACCAGCAGATCTGGTGTCTGGTAAGACCCCGGGTCTCCCAGATGGCTCTTTCTTTTCTGAGTCCTCACTTAGCAGAAAGAAAAAACAAGCTCCCTCAGCCTTTCTAAAATAAGGGCACTCATCCCATTCATGAGGATGGGGCCCTTATGACCTAATCACCTTCTGTATTAGTCCATTTTCATGCTGCTGACACATACCCGAGACTGGGCAATTTACTAAAGAAAGAGCTTTAGTGGGCTTACAGTTCCACATGGCTGAGGAGGCCTCACAATCATGGTGGAAGGTGAAATGCACATCTCACATGGGGGCAGACAAGAGAAGAGAGATGGTGCAGGGAAACTCCCCTTTATAAAACCATCAGATCTTGTGAGACTTATTCACTATCATGAGAACAGCACAGGAAAGACCTACCCCCATGCAATTACCTCCCACTGGGTCCCTCCCACAACACATGGGAATTCAAGATAAGATTTGGGTGGGGACACAGCCAAGCCACATCACCTTTGAAAGGTACCACCTCTTAAAACCAACACCTTAATACTTTGGGGGTTAAGTTTCAACATATGAATGTTGGAGGGACATAAACATTCAGCCCCATAGCACCTGATAAACCAGAACAGCCTCATAGAGTCCATATTGAAATCAGGTCTATTTAATTCCCAATACCCTTTCTCCTTATCTCCCAATATTATATTGGATAGGCTTATGCCCCAGGACCTTCTTACATTGAATTTAATTGAATTTATTGAATTTTGTTATCTTTTCCCATTAGACTGTATATAGAAGCTCCTTGGAAATATCAGAAAATTAAAGTGTTTATTTTAACACAAATGCATGGAAACAGTTTAATATGAAATCAGTCCTTAGAACCCTGAAAATTATAACTTTGTAAGTATGGTATTATGTACTAAAGAACAGTGAGTCCAACCCTATAGCTATGAGAACTGCCACATCTAAGGGAACTGAGCTATTGCCTTTACATTTCCAACATTTAATTGAAGCCTTTTTAGAAAGAACAAGATGTCCTGTGAGCTTTGCCTGAGCCTGCTCTAGGATTCCACATAAATGAGTACAGCAACTCTACATGATAAAAGACATCCTAATATACCTCGTCACAGTTGAATCTCAATGTCACTGTCAAAGGGACGTTAGGGATAGAAAGTTTTTCTTGGGCAAAGGATTTAGACCTTTTATTGCTTTCCTAAAGCTGAAGAGCAGAGGGGGAAATCAGGGAATTATTTAAAACAACTTGTGTTTGCATATTAGCTCCCCATGTTTCTTAAGATTTTTAAAAAAATTTTAATTAATTTTTAATGACAGATGCAACACTATGCCTTTCCTGGAAGAATAAATTTAAAAAAATGGAAACAATTGTATTTGGAATTCTGCACCATTTCCTAGCTTTGATGATAAGGAATAATCTGCTAAGGACACTGAGTACCTACAGCAGTTCTCTACACTTTTTATAAGCACAGTATAACTGCAAAACGTCCAGTTTGCTTACTTAGAAACGTTTAAATGTTCACTTTCTTAAGAATAATCACAGTGAGTTCAGAACTAATAGCTTATTGACCATCACAACAAGTTTGCTCAGGGTGGATTTTGTTACCTCCTTTTACAGGAGAAGAAATTAAAGTTCAGGTTAAATGACTTGCCTTCACAATCCCAGCCCCTCAACCAAAAAAATAAAAGAAATTAAATGAATTGCCTCACATTCCTAGCTCCCTATCCAAAAAATAAAAGGAGGGAAGTGGAGGGGAGGGGAGAGGAGGGGAGAGGTAAGGGAAAGAAGTGGGGAGTGGGAAGTGGGGGAGGGGAGGGGATCCATTGAGAAGGCAAAATTTTCAGCTCAGCCTTGAGAATTTTTGGACTTTATTCTTTCCAAAGTATTGTTCTGTGATTTTTTTTGAAAAAAATTATAAATAAATGATAAACCTTAGTAAATAAAGATTTCTGAGGGCCATTGAACAGAAGTGCCCTATTTTCTATATGGTAGCTATGCTTATACAAAATCTGTCTTTATGGCAATGTTGAAAGTACCACTGTCATTCTAATAGCAAAGTACCACAACTTACCCTACTTACAAGTGAAGCAGTTAAGAAATGTGCTTCCTTGCTAAGTCAAATCTTTTATGAAAGGTAATAGAAGTAACACCAAATAGCATGACAGCCTTGGTAACTGGCAGCATGGAGGATGGGAGAATTTTAATTTACACTCTAGAATTTTCAAATCTGAATCTTTTGGAAGAGAACAAGAGTGAAATTATTGCCCCCCCCCCACAAATTTGCATCTTTCATGGCTGCATATATACATTTCTAAATTGTTTTTTAAAGGGCTTTACCAATTTACACTGTTCCTTAAATGTATAAGCTAATTTTACTAAATTTACACCAGCCTGAGGTTTATAACGCCATTTAGGGGATAAGTGATATTCCACCTATTCATACCTGATGCAGTTTCCAGAAAAGTAATTTTTATTTGAGCAGGTCTTGTACATCTTTTTGATACTTATAAAGTATGCTCTGAATGCCTGCCTAGTCATTCTCTTTTGGAAGGAAGTGTTCAAAATAGGGTTGGACATAGCTGGGATTTAAATGTTTCTTAATGTTAGTTTCTGATAGCTTTGTAGAATTTTTTTTTCAAATATATATACATATATACACATAATAATATTTGTTTTTAGTATTGATTTTATACTACTATTATGCTGTTTGGAGAATGAATTATATATGGTAGGGAAGATACTTTTTTTTTTTTTTCAGAGGGAGTCTTGCTTTGTCGACCAGGCTGGAGTGCAGTGGCTGAATCTCGGCTCACTGCAACCTCTGCCTCCCACGTTCAAGCAATTCTCCTGCCTCAGCCTCCTGAGGAGCTGAGATTACAGGCGTCTGCCACCATGCCCAGCTAATTTTTGTATTTTTAGTAGAGACGGGGTTTCACCATGTTGGCCAGGCTGGTCTCAAACTCCTGACCTCAGGTATCCACCCGCCTAGGCCTCCCAAAGTGCTGGGATTACAGCATGAGCCATAGTTCCTGGCTGGAAGATAAAATTTTGACATCTTTCATAAATTGCAAACTGAGTCAGAACAGCCATGGTTGTGGTTATTTTTTTTTTAATAATTTATGGAAGTTTTTTTAATTTTATTTTTATTTTTTATTTTTTGTTTTAGGTTTAAGCTAGTGTTTCTGTGTAAAATATTCTAGAATGTGAAGATTTACAAAGCAAACTTGTTTCAAGTTCCTAACAGCCAAACTACCATAACCTGGATTCCTAGGTTTTTGGGGGTAGGAAACATGACATTCCTATGATAATATGTTACTTTTATACAATCCTTTATACAAGGATTGAGGGTAGGGTATTTCTATAATTCTTTCTGATTTAAAGAAAAGTAGAAACATGGCAAAATTTGAAAGTTTTTAGAATTCATTAAAATTTCTTAACCTCTGTTTTTTAATGGCCACCCAGAACAGTGACAACATCAAATGTTAGTGAGGGTTTGGTGTAACAGGAACTCTCATTTGTTGCTGGTGAGAAGGCAAAATGGTACAGCCACTTTCGAAGACAGTTTGGCAGTTTCCTACAACACTAAACATATGCTTACTGTATAATCCAATAATCATGCTTCTTGGTATTTACCCAAAGGAGCTGAAAACCTGTGTCTACATATCAACCTGGTGCTTATAACAGCTTTATTCATAATTGCCAACATTTAGAAGCAACCAAGATATCCTTTAGTAGCTGAATGAATAAATAAACTGTAGTACATACAGGCAATGGAATATTATTCAGTGCTGAAATAAATGAGCTGTCAAGCCATGAAAAGACATGGAGAAAGCTAAAATGTATACTACTAAGTGAAAGAAACCAATCTGAAAAAGCAACATATTGTGTGATCCTGACTATACGATATTCTGCAAAAGACAAAACTGTAGAGTCCATAACAAGATCAGTGGTTTCCAGGGGAAGTGGAAGGAGGGATGAATAGGTGAAGCACCAAGGATTTTTTGAGGCAGTGAAACTCTTCTGTATTATACTATAAATTGTTGATACACATCATTGTATATTTGTCAAAACCCACAGAATGCACAGCACCAAGGGTAACCCTAACGTAAACTATGGACTTTGAGTGATAATCCTGCATTGGTGTAGATTGATCAGTTGTAACAAATGTACCATTGTGATGCAGGATGTTGATAGTGATGGAAGTTTTGTGTGTGTGAAGGCAGGGATATATGGGAAATCTCTGTACCTTCTGCTCATTTTTTTCTGTGAACTTAAAACAACTCTAGAAAATAAAGTCTATTTAAAAGGGAAAAAAAGTCTTCACAACATGCTCATAATAAATAGCAATTGCAAGAGAATGCTACTAACTTCTCTCTGTCAACCTTTTTTTTTTTTTTTTTTTTTGGAGACGGAGTCTCACTATGTTGCTCAGGCTGGAGTCCAGTGGCGCGATCTTGGCTCACTGCAACCTCCACCTCCTGGGTTCAAGCAGTTCTTCTGCCACAGCCTCCCGAGTAGCTGGGACTACAGGCACACGCTGCCACGCCCGGCTAATTCTGTGTATTTTAGTAGAGATGGGGTTTCACCATTGTTGCCCAGGCTGGTCTCGAACTCCTGAGCTCAGGCAATCCGCCCACTTCGGCCTCCCAAAGTGCTAGGATTACGGGCATGAGCCATCGCGCCTGGCCTCTGTCAACCTGTCTTGAGAAGTAATGACCAGATTCTCCAAGTCCAAGTGGTTAAATAGATTTTTCCTTGCACATTGTCCTTAAGTCATTGAAAAAACACCTTTTTATTACCTCAGTTTCTATCACACTATGATGAAGGAATAAAGTACTAGCTTTGAGAATTCAAGAACTTTATAAATTATTAATTATTCAAAATTATTAAGCAACAGAGTTACAATAATAGCATTCCTTTTCATAGAAGCTGGCAATGAGTAGATGCGTTATGGAGTGTTTATTCTGGTTATTGCCTATGCATTTCTCTAACACAAACGCATCAACATCTGCCTTCTCTTCACTTGCATTCTAATACAGAGATGGCAAATGAAACAGAGTTGATAGTTACAGGACATTGAAAATTTAAATGTATTTTAAAATATTGTGGAAAAAGGAATTTTAATTCTCACCAATGGGTTTTATTTTAAAACCTGTACCTTTTGTAGAACTCAGATTTTTGCCTTTGCTACTTGCTTATATCTAGCTCTAGTCATCTCCAAAATTAGCATCTCTGGGTAAATTCAAATAGTTAAAAAAAAAAAAAAACTCCTGTGGCCAAAATTTACATGGTGAGATAAAATGAAGTGAAGAATTAGAGCAGCCATTTGTATACTATGTTTAGAAAAAATAAATATTCTCCAGGAGAAAAAAATATGGTGACTTAAGTTGCCTCATTTTAAGGATGGCATTCGTTACAAGATCTGGAGATCTTATCTTTATTGAAATGGAGTTTTCTATCCTACATGTGGAAAGTATAGTGATGGTTATTCCTGTAATGGTGACTTAGAGGCATTCTAACAATTGAGGGATTGTATGAATTATGTGAATGTAAAATAAACTATGATTTTAAGACTGAAGTATTATTGCATTTTTTCAAATTATGAAGAGTTTTAATATAAGAGATTAGAGGCTTAAACAACTAGTGAAGGGGTAGACAAATGAAGCCTAAAGAAACTATTATCCAAAGTCTTAGCTTCAGCATCAAAGTAAGTGATTCTCAATAGCTTAACATAAAATTTCTGCAAATCTCAAGAACTCCTGGGTATCTCCTAATGTACTTTTATCAGTCTGAGGCTCCAATGTGGATGATTATCAAAAGTTCACTTGGAAACCGCTTCAAACATTCTGTCTAGTCCCGTATCCGCCTGCCTCTTATTCTTTCCAGACTTCCCAACTGGACTTCAACCTCTGCCTTTCATAAACTCTAGCTCTATTTCAGGAACCATATGCATAAGCAAATTCTGGAAAATGTAGCTCCCAGTTCCTCCTCTGCATTGAAGAGGAAACGTTAGGAAAAGCTGGTGGTAATGTCCAGTGGAAACAGATAAACAGATGTACCATGATCTTACCTCTTCAATAGCTATTTCTTTGACATTGAGTGTTTTGATCCAATAATATATCTGCCTACATATTTTGCAAATAGTTGTAAGCCTGGTATACGTGCCTGAATTATTTTACAGATGCCTATAAAAATGTAAAGTTTACATTAAAAGAGAGAGAGAAAGAAAGAAAGAAAAGAAAGAAGGAAAGAAGAAGGAAGGAAGGGAAAAGAAAGGAAGAAACAAAAAGAAAAGAAAAGGAAAGAAGGAAGAAAGAAAGAAAAGGAAGGAAGGGAGGGATGGAGGAAAGGAAGGAGGGAGGGAGGAAGGAAGGAAAGGAAGGGAAGGAAGGAAGGGAGGGAGGGACAGAGGGATGGAGGGAGGGAAGAAGAAAAGAAGGGTTAACTGAGCTTCTTGGGTTGGCAGATTATTGACTTTCCTTACATTTTGGGAATTTGGGGCCATTATTTCTTCAAATACTTCCCTGCTTTCACCCTCTTCTTTTGTTATGGGACTCCTATTACACATATGTATGCCTAATAATGTTCCACAGATCTCTGAGATTCTGTTTATTTTTCCTGGTTTTTCTTCTGTTTTATTTTCAGATAGTTTATACTGATCTGTCTTCAGAATGATTGGTTCTTTTTTTCCTGACCACATGAATCATTAATGGAGCTTCTTTTGAATTTTTCCTTTTACTTTTCACATCAAAATTTCCATTTGCTTTTTGTAATTGTTATCTCTTTCATAAGAGCTTCTATTCATTGAGTCATTATCATTAGACTTGCCTTTAATTCTTTAAACATGCTTTTTAGAGTTACTTTATTTATTTTTATTTTGTTTTATTTTATTTTAAGTTCCAGGATACATGTGCAGGATGTGCAGGTTTGTGACACAGGTAAATGTGTGCCATGATGGTTTGCTGCACCTGTCAACCCATCATCACCTAGGTATTAAGCCCACCTAGGTATTAGCTATTTTTCCTGGCACCCTCCCTACCCCTCTCCCCACCCACTGACAGGCCCCGGTGTGCATTGCTCCCCTCCTTGTGTCCATGCGTTCTCATTATTCAGCTCCCACTTTTAAGTGAGAACATGTGGTGTTTGCTTTTCTGTTCCTGCAATAGTTTGCTGAGGATAATGGCTTCCAGCTCCATCGATGTCCCTGCAAAGGACATGACTTCATTCCTTTTATGGCTGCATAGTATTCCATGGTGTATATGTACCACATTTTCTTTATCCAGTCTTCATCGATGGATATTTGGGTTGATTCCATGTCTTTGCTATTGTAAATGGTGCTGCAATCAAATACACGTGCATGTTCATTTATAGTAGAATGATTTATATTCCTTTGGGTGAGTAGCCAGTAATGGAATTGCTGGGTCAAATAGTGTTTCTGGTTTTAGGTCTTTCAGAAATCACCACACTGTCTTCCACAATGGTTGAACTGATTTATATTCCCTCCAAAAGTGTAAAGGTGTTCCTGTTTCCACAGCCTCACCAGCATCTGTTGTTTCTTGATGTTTTAATAATTGCCATTCTGACTGGTGTGAGATGGTATCTCACTGTGCTTTTGATTTGCATTTCTCTAGTGATCAGTGATACTGAGCTTTTTTCATGTTTTTTGGCCACATAAATGTCTTCTTTTCTATACACCAACAGTAGACAAGCAGAAAGCCAAATCATGAATGAATTCCCACTCACAATTGCTACAAAGAGAATAAAATACCTAGGAATAGAGCTAACAAGAGAAATAAAAGACCTCTTCAAGGAGAACTACAAACCACTGCTCAAGGAAATCAGAGAGGACACAAATAAATGGAAATACATTCCATGCTCATGGATAGGAAAAATCAATATCATGAAAATAGCCATACTATAAAGTTATTTTAACATATGTTTAACATAGGTCCTTTGACGTCTTTGCTAAATCCAAAATCAGTGGGTTGGTGGTGGTGGGGTGTTCAGTCACACATTTTCCATTGATTGCTTTGTTTTTTCCTGAGTATGAGTCACACTTTCTTCTTCACATAATTTTAATTGAGGATTATATTTTTAGATAATATAGCAGTATAATATTGCTTTTTGATTCTTTTAATATTTGCTATTGATTTTTACTTTTTTCCTTCATTAGTGTTTTTTTGGCTTTTATTTGTTTCTCATTTTTAAATCGGAGAGGTCTGTCTCTGCCAAAATGTATGGCTGCTGTTTCTACTGGAATTTTTTTCTGATGTTATTATTTTGTCTGGTTTTTATGTTTAAGCCTTTTTTCCTGGGGTGGCCCGGTGTCTGCACAGTTTACTGTTCTGCTGAAGATTAGTTAGAGGTTACATTCAAACAGCTAAAGCCAGGAAAGCTTTCCACTGCCTGCTGATGACTCTGTATGGGCTGGAGAGCACGTTCAAACATCAGGCTGTTTTAAGAAGTCTGCCCATTTTACTTTCCATCGAGCTCACTTGTGTGTCTCCTGAGCATGTGCACTGGCTTCATAAGCCAGGGATATGTGAGTTGCTTGAGTTCACTCTAGCCTCTACTGCACACGCACACAACTTCTGGTTAAAGCTGGTTATGCAGAACATTTACCAATCCCATTAAGTCTGCCTTACTTACTGGAGCTCCTTGTTTAATGTCTAGCTATTCAAATTTAAGCTAGCAGAGCTACTGGCCCTCCCTTTTCACTTGCCACCAAGATAACCACTCACATTAGTCAGGGTTCTCAGAGAAACAGAACCAATAGGAGATAGCTAGATGGATAGACACACAGACAGAGAGAATTCATTGTGGGGATTGGTTCACACAATTATGCAGGCCAAGAAGTCCCATGATATGCCATTTGCAGGCCAAAGAAAGAGGAAATCTGGTGGAGTTGTAATTCAGTCCAAGTCCAAAGACTTTAAAAATGGGGACTGGGGGAAGCACTGGTGTAAGCCAGAGTCCAAAGGCCCAAGGACCGGGTGGTTCAATGTCCAAGGAAAGAAGAAATGGATTTCTCAGCTCAAGAGGAGAGAGAGAAAGAGGATTTGTCCTTATTCTGCATTTTTGTTCTATTTGGGCCCTCAGTAGATTAGATGCTGCCCATCAGTATTGGTGACAACAGATCTTCTGTACTCAATTTACTGACTCAAATGCTGATCTCTTCTAGAAACACGCACACAGAGATACTTAGATGTAACATTTTTCCAGCCATCTGAGCATTCTTTAGCCCCATCAAATTAACACATAAAATTAACCATTATAGTATGTACACATATATGTGTGTATGTATGTGTGTACAATTATGCATCATTTAACAACAGGGACACACTCTGAGAAACGTGTTGTTTAGGTGATTCCCTTGTTGTGCAAACATCATAGAGCGTACTCACACAGACCTAGATGGTATAGCCTATTACACATCTAGGCTGTACGGTATAGTCTATGGCTCCTAGGCTACAAACCTATGCAGTACGTTACTGTACTGAATACTGCAGACAATTGTAACACAATGGTAAGTGTTTATATATGTAAACATATCAAAACATTAAAAAGGTAAAGTAAAAATATGGTATAAAAGATGGTACACCTGTATAGACCACTTAACATAAATGGAGGTTACAAAACTGGAAGTTGTTTTGTGTGAGTCAGTGAGTAGGTGGTGAGTGAATGCGAAGGCCTACAATATTGCTATACAGTACTGTAGACATTACAAACATTGTACACTTAGGCAACACTAAATTAAGAGTATTTTTCTTCCTCAATAATAAATTAGCCACTTGTAATAGTCTGTTTTCATGCTGCTGATAAAGACATACCGAGACTGGGCAATTTACAAGAGAAAGAGGTTTAATTAGACTTCCAATTCCACATGGCTGCAGAGGCCTCACAATCATGGTGGAAGGCAAGGAGGAGCAAGTCACATCTTACATGGATGGTGGCAGGCAAAATAGGAGCTTGTGAAGAGAAACTCCCATTTTTAAAACCATCAGATTTCATGAGACCCATTCACCATCACGAGAACAGCATGGGAAAGACCTGCCCCCATGATTCAATCACCTTTCACTGGATCCCTCCCACACCACGTGGGAATTATGGAAGCTACAAGATGAGATTTGGGTGGGGACACAGAGCCAAGCCATATCACTACTGCAACTTATTTTTACTTTATCAATGTTTTAATTTTTAAAGCTTTTTCACTCTTTTGTAATAACGCTTAGCTTAAAACACAAACACATGGTCAGCTGTACAAAAATATTTTCTTTCCATATATTGTTATTCTACAAGATTTTGTGGGGGGAGGAGCCAAGATGGCCGAATAGGAACAGCTCCGGTCTACAGCTCCCAGCGTGAGCGACGCAGAAGACGGTGATTTCTGCATTTCCATCTGAGGTACCGGGTTCATCTCACTAGGGAGTGCCAGACAGTGGGCGCAGGCCAGTGTGTGTGCGCACCGTGCGCGAGCCGAAGCAGGGCGAGGCATTGCCTCACCTGGGAAGCGCAAGGGGTCAGGGAGTTCCCTTTCCGAGTCAAAGAAAGGGGTGACGGACGCACCTGGAAAATCGGGTCACTCCCACCCGAATATTGCGCTTTTCAGACCGGCTTAAGAAACGGCGCACCACGAGACTATATCTCACACCTGGCTCGGAGGGTCCTACGCCCACGGAATCTCGCTGATTGCTAGCACAGCAGTCTGAGATCAAACTGCAAGGCGGCAACGAGGCTGGGGGAGGGGCGCCCGCCATTGCCCAGGCTTGCTTAGGTAAACAAAGCAGCAGGGAAGCTCGAACTGGGTGGAGCCCACCACAGCTCAAGGAGGCCTGCCTGCCTCTGTAGGCTCCACCTCTGGGGGCAGGGCACAGACAAACAAAAAGACAGCAGTAACCTCTGCAGACTTAAGTGTCCCTGTCTGACAGCTTTGAAGAGAGCAGTGGTTCTCCCAGCACGCAGCTGGAGATCTGAGAACGGGCAGACTGCCTCCTCAAGTGGGTCCCTGACCCCTGACCCCCGAGCAGCCTAACTGGGAGGCACCCCCCAGCAGGGGCACACTGACACCTCACACGGCAGGGTATTCCAACAGACCTGCAGCTGAGGGTCCTGTCTGTTAGAAGGAAAACTAACAACCAGAAAGGACATCTACACCGAAAACCCATCTGTACATCACCATCATCAAAGACCAAAAGTAGATAAAACCACAAAGATGGGGAAAAAACAGAACAGAAAAACTGGAAACTCTAAAACGCAGAGCGCCTCTCCTCCTCCAAAGGAACGCAGTTCCTCACCAGCAACAGAACAAAGCTGGATGGAGAATGATTTTGATGAGCTGAGAGAAGAAGGCTTCAGACGATCAAATTACTCTGAGCTACGGGAGGACATTCAAACCAAAGGCAAAGAAGTTGAAAACTTTGAAAAAAATTTAGAAGAATGTATAACTAGAATAACCAATACAGAGAAGTGCTTAAAGGAGCTGATGGAGCTGAAAACCAAGGCTCGAGAACTACGTGAAGAATGCAGAAGCCTCAGGAGCCGATGCGATCAACTGGAAGAAAGGGTATCAGCAATGGAAGATGAAATGAATGAAATGAAGCGAGAAGGGAAGTTTAGAGAAAAAAGAATAAAAAGAAATGAGCAAAGCCTCCAAGAAATATGGGACTATGTGAAAAGACCAAATCTACGTCTGATTGGTGTACCTGAAAGTGATGTGGAGAATGGAACCAAGTTGGAAAACACTCTGCAGGATATTATCCAGGAGAACTTCCCCAATCTAGCAAGGCAGGCCAACGTTCAGATTCAGGAAATACAGAGAACGCCACAAAGATACTCCTCGAGAAGAGCAACTCCAAGACACATAATTGTCAGATTCACCAAAGTTGAAATGAAGGAAAAAATGTTAAGGGCAGCCAGAGAGAAAGGTCGGGTTACCCTCAAAGGAAAGCCCATCAGACTAACAGCGGATCTCTCGGCAGAAACCCTACAAGCCAGAAGAGAGTGGGGGCCAATATTCAACATTCTTAAAGAAAAGAATTTTCAACCCAGAATTTCATATCCAGCCAAACTAAGCTTCATAAGTGAAGGAGAAATAAAATACTTTATAGACAAGCAAATGTTGAGAGATTTTGTCACCACCAGGCCTGCCCTAAAAGAGCTCCTGAAGGAAGCGCTAAACATGGAAAGGAACAACCGGTACCAGCCGCTGCAAAATCATGCCAAAATGTAAAGACCATCAAGACTAGGAAGAAACTGCATCAACTAATGAGCAAAATCACCAGCTAACATCATAATGACAGGATCAACTTCACACATAACAATATTAACTTTAAATATAAATGGACTAAATTCTGCAATTAAAAGACACAGACTGGCAAGTTGGATAAAGAGTCAAGACCCATCAGTGTGCTGTATTCAGGAAACCCATCTCACGTGCAGAGACACACATAGGCTCAAAATAAAAGGATGGAGGAAGATCTACCAAGCCAATGGAAAACAAAAAAAGGCAGGGGTTGCAATCCTAGTCTCTGATAAAACAGACTTTAAACCAACAAAGATCAAAAGAGACAAAGAAGGCCATTACATAATGGTAAAGGGATCAATTCAACAAGAGGAGCTAACTATCCTAAATATTTATGCACCCAATACAGGAGCACCCAGATTCATAAAGCAAGTCCTCAGTGACCTACAAAGAGACTTAGACTCCCACACATTAATAATGGGAGACTTTAACACCCCACTGTCAACATTAGACAGATCAACGAGACAGAAAGTCAACAAGGATACCCAGGAATTGAACTCAGCTCTGCACCAAGCAGACCTAATAGACATCTACAGAACTCTCCACCCCAAATCAACAGAATATACATTTTTTTCAGCACCACACCACACCTATTCCAAAATTGACCACATAGTTGGAAGTAAAGCTCTCCTCAGCAAATGTAAAAGAACAGAAATTATAACAAACTATCTCTCAGACCACAGTGCAATCAAACTAGAACTCAGGATTAAGAATCTCACTCAAAGCCGCTCAACTACATGGAAACTGAACAACCTGCTCCTGAATGACTACTGGGTACATAACGAAATGAAGGCAGAAATAAAGATGTTCTTTGAAACCAACGAGAACAAAGACACCACATACCAGAATCTCTGGGACGCATTCAAAGCAGTGTGTAGAGGGAAATTTATAGCACTAAATGCCTACAAGAGAAAGCAGGAAAGATCCAAAATTGACACCCTAACATCACAATTAAAAGAACTAGAAAAGCAAGAGCAAACACATTCAAAAGCTAGCAGAAGGCAAGAAATAACTAAAATCAGAGCAGAACTGAAGGAAATAGAGACACAAAAAACCCTTCAAAAAATCAATGAATCCAGGAGCTGGTTTTTTGAAAGGATCAACAAAATTGATAGACCGCTAGCAAGACTAATAAAGAAAAAAAGAGAGAAGAATCAAATAGACACAATAAAAAATGATAAAGGGGATATCACCACCGATCCCACAGAAATACAAACTACCATCAGAGAATACTACAAACACCTCTACGCAAATAAACTAGAAAATCTAGAAGAAATGGATACATTCCTCGACACATACACTCTCCCAAGACTAAACCAGGAAGAAGTTGAATCTCTGAATCGACCAATAACAGGCTCTGAAATTGTGGCAATAATCAATAGTTTACCAACCAAAAAGAGTCCAGGACCAGATGGATTCACAGCCGAATTCTAGCAGAGGTACAAGGAGGAACTGGTACCATTCCTTCTGAAACTATTCCAATCAATAGAAAAAGAGGGAATCCTCCCTAACTCATTTTATGAGGCCAGCATCATTCTGATACCAAAGCCGGGCAGAGACACAACCAAAAAAGAGAATTTTAGACCAATATCCTTGATGAACATTGATGCAAAAATCCTCAATAAAATACTGGCAAACCGAATCCAGCAGCACATCAAAAAGCTTATCCACCATGATCAAGTGGGCTTCATCCCTGGGATGCAAGGCTGGTTCAATATACGCAAATCAATAAATGTAATCCAGCATATAAACAGAGCCAAAGACAAAAACCACATGATTATCTCAATAGATGCAGAAAAAGCCTTTGACAAAATTCAACAACCCTTCATGCTAAAAACTCTCAATAAATTAGGTATTGATGGGACGTATTTCAAAATAATAAGAGCTATCTATGACAAACCCACAGCCAATATCATACTGAATGGGCAAAAACTGGAAGCATTCCCTTTGAAAACCGGCACAAGACAGGGATGCCCTCTCTCACCGCTCCTATTCAACATAGTGTTGGAAGTTCTGGCCAGGGCAATCAGGCAGGAGAAGGAAATAAAGGGTATTCAATTAGGAAAAGAGGAAGTCAAATTGTCCCTGTTTGCAGACGACATGATTGTTTATCTAGAAAACCCCATCGTCTCAGCCCAAAATCTCCTTAAGCTGATAAGCAACTTCAGCAAAGTCTCAGGATACAAAATCAATGTACAAAAATCACAAGCATTCTTATACACCAACAACAGACAAACAGAGAGCCAAATCATGGGTGAACTCCCATTCACAATTGCTTCAAAGAGAATAAAATACCTAGGAATCCAACTTACAAGGGATGTGAAGGACCTCTTCAAGGAGAACTACAAACCACTGCTCAAGGAAATAAAAGAGGAGACAAACAAATGGAAGAACATTCCATGCTCATGGGTAGGAAGAATCAATATCGTGAAAATGGCCATACTGCCCAAGGTAATTTACAGATTCAATGCCATCCCCATCAAGCTACCAATGACTTTCTTCACAGAATTGGAAAAAACTACTTTAAAGTTCATATGGAACCAAAAAAGAGCCCGCATTGCCAAGTCAATCCTAAGCCAAAAGAACAAAGCTGGAGGCATCACACTACCTGACTTCAAACTATACTACAAGGCTACAGTAACCAAAACAGCATGGTACTGGTACCAAAACAGAGATATAGATCAATGGAACAGAACAGAGCCCTCAGAAATAATGCCGCATATCTACAACTATCTGATCTTTGACAAACCTGAGAAAAACAAGCAATGGGGAAAGGATTCCCTATTTAATAAATGGTGCTGGGAAAACTGGCTAGCCATATGTAGAAAGCTGAAACTGGATCCCTTCCTTACACCTTATACAAAAATCAATTCAAGATGGATTAAAGATTTAAACGTTAAACCTAAAACCATAAAAACCCTAGAAGAAAACCTAGGCATTACCATTCAGGACATAGGCGTGGGCAAGGACTTCATGTCCAAAACACCAAAAGCAATGGCAACAAAAGACAAAATTGACAAATGGGATCTAATTAAACTAAAGAGCTTCTGCACAGCAAAAGAAACTACCATCAGAGTGAACAGGCAACCTACAACATGGGAGAAAATTTTTGCAACCTACTCATCTGACAAAGGGCTAATATCCAGAATCTACAATGAACTCAAACAAATTTACAAGAAAAAAACAAACAACCCCATCAAAAAGTGGGCGAAGGACATGAACAGACACTTCTCAAAAGAAGACATTTATGCAGCCAAAAAACACATGAAGAAATGCTCATCATCACTGGCCATCAGAGAAATGCAAATCAAAACCACTATGAGATATCATCTCACACCAGTTAGAATGGCAATCATTAAAAAGTCAGGAAACAACAGGTGCTGGAGAGGATGCGGAGAAATAGGAACACTTTTACACTGTTGGTGGGACTGTAAACTAGTTCAACCATTGTGGAAGTCAGTGTGGCGATTCCTCAGGGATCTAGAACTAGAAATACCATTTGACCCAGCCATCCCATTACTGGGTATATACCCAAATGAGTATAAATCATGCTGCTATAAAGACACATGCACACGTATGTTTATTGCGGCACTATTCACAATAGCAAAGACTTGGAACCAACCCAAATGTCCAACAATGATAGACTGGATTAAGAAAATGTGGCACATATACACCATGGAATACTATGCAGCCATAAAAAATGATGAGTTCATATCCTTTGTAGGGACATGGATGAAATTGGAAACCATCATTCTCAGTAAACTATCGCAAGAACAAAAAACCAAACACCGCATATTCTCACTCATAGGTGGGAATTGAACAATGAGATCACATGGACACAGGAAGGGGAATATCACACTCTGGGGACTGTGGTGGGGTCGGGGGAGGGGGGAGGGATAGCATTGGGAGATATACCTAATGCTAGATGACACATTAGTGGGTGCAGCGCACCAGCATGGCACATGTATACATATGTAACTAACCTGCACAATGTGCACATGTACCCTAAAACTTAGAGTATAATAAAAAAAAAAAAAAAAAAAAAAAAAAGTTTTAAATTAAAAAAAAAAAAAAAAAAAAAAAAAAAGATTTTGTGTACTATGAACTTTTTTTATTTTTTTTTACTTCTCAAAGTTTTTTGTTTAAAACTAAGATACAAATACACACATTAGCCTAAGTCTACACAGTGTCAGAATCATCAATATCACTGTCTTTCACTGTCACATCTTGTGCCACTGGAAGATCTTTTGGAACAATAACGTGCATGGAGCTGTCATCTCCTATAATAACAATGCCTTCTTCTGGAACATCCCCCGAAGGATCTCCCTGAGGCTGTTTTACAGTTAACTTTTTTTTCTAATAAGTAGAGGGAGTATACTCTAAAATAATGATTGAAAGTTTAATATAGTAAATACATAAACCAGTAACATAGTTGTTTATGATCATTATCAAGTATTATGTACTGTAGATAGTTGTATGTGCTGTACTATTTAGGATTGTCAGCACAGTGGGTTTGTTTATACCAGCATCACCAAAAACATGAGTAATGTGTAACTCTGTGATGTTATGATAGCTACAGTCACTAGGCAATAGGAATTATTCAGCTCCATTATAATCTTATGAGACCACCATAGTATATGCAGTTTGTTGTTAGCCAAAACATCATTATGCAGTGCATGACTAAATGTATATCTCACACATACCACACCTACACACCTGCACATATATATAAATATACATATATATCACAGTATATATATGTGTGTGTGTGTGAGATATATATGTACCACAGTATATACATGTGACATATATATAGATATACATTTTATATATATAGTGGTCCTTGAATACATATAGCAGATTCTCAAAGAACTTCATTTTTTCAATGTTTTTTAGTTATAATGTAAATGAGAAACTGGTGTTGTCATATTGTTTCACTTAAAGTAGCAGTTTCCAAGAACCTGTCAACATTAAGTGAGGACTTACTCTATATATCTCCACATATCTATCTATCTGTGTATCCATCTGTATATATATGGAGATAGAGAAACAGGGACAGAGACAGAAAGGAAGAGAGAGAGCTTTATTGTAAGGAGTGTTTTACCAGACTTCAGAGGCTGAGGAGTTCCAGGATCTGTGTAGTTCCAGTTCATACCCAAAGGCCTGAGAACAAGGAGCAGCAATGATGTCAATCCCAGTCTGAGGGTAGAAGACTAAAGACTTAGCTGAAGCAATCAGGCAGAAAAGAAATTCTCTCTTTCTCCACCTTCTGTTGTATTCAAGCCCTCACCAGCTTGGATGATGCCCACTCACATTAAAGAGGACTCTGCTTTACTCAGTCTAATGATTTAAATGCTAATCTCTTCTGAAAATGTCCTCAAGACACACCAAGAGATAATGTTTAACCAACTATCTGGGCACCCCATGACCCAGTCAACTTCACATGTAATATTAACCATCACACACCTTTAATAATTAAGTGCTCTAAATCCTGTGTGCCCTTACTGGCAGAACAGGGACACTGCTGGTTTTCACAGCCTGTCCCTCCCTAGTTGGAATATCATGGACAGAGATAGTAGGGGCATGGGAGCAGTCCTGGGCAAGAGCACCACAGGCTCACGCCAGTCTTACCCAAATATAGTAGAACTCAAGCATGAATGCTTCTTACATTAATATACAGCTTTGCTTGATTTCCAGATTTTTAGCAATCTGAAATGATTGACAGTTTTGTTCAGCTTTATGGTTCACATTTGTTTGAGGAAATGATTTGTTAGCTTCCTAATTCCATCATTCTGGTAAGGAAATCTTATTAACTGTGAATTTACCTAGAGTGAATAAAATAACTTCTTTTCAAAATATCACCATGTCATTTCAAGCCTGCAAGAAAAGACAGAGAGAGACCAGAAATTTATCTATCATTTCACAAAAAAGTATACTGAAAAGACCTTATACTTTGGACTCAAGTGAACCTAGGTTTGAATCTTGACATCAACTTTCTGCTATATGAACTCTAGGGGAAAGAAAACCCGCAAGCTCTCTGAGCTTTCTCTGTGAAGTGGATATTATAGTTGGTGTTTTGAGGACTAAATGTCTGACATATAGTATATACTTAATGGTTGCTAGTTTTTTTTTTAAAAATCTACCCTTTCTGTTTTTGCTTCGCATAGATAAGGTATGTTGTATATCAAACTGCCTGATTTCGTTTCTCGTGTTTCAAGATTACATTAACATGTGCATTTAGTTATTGATGTTTGAAAAGTGTATGGCCGGGGTCATTGGTAATTTAAAAGACACAATGGAGAAATAGTTTCTGAAGCAACCAACACCCCTCTGGTTTGATGCCCAAGAATGCAGTCCTTCTTTTGTGTTTTTACAAGCCTTCTGTTGATTTATGTTTGCAAATGTACTTTTGGTCATTTTCTTAGGCAGTAATCCCAATGTCTTTCTTTAGATAATTATTGTATATGTATTTTTTTGCAATATTTTCTAAGTGTTAAAAGGAAGAAGGAATGAAGAGGATAAATGCATGTTAGTTTTTGTGGGATGAATTCCAGATCAACTTCTTCTAGCAGGCTAATTTTTTTTTCATTTTTCTTTTGGTCAATTGTAAGCATTGACATCATTATAGTATTCTCTCTATTTCTTCTTTGAATTACTCACTCAACCACACCTAGCTACTAGATTAGTATTTCAGTTCTAAACACTGATTATAACTAGAAAGTAAGGCAAACAAAATAATGTTAAACAAATTATAATGTAGCTACAGATTTATGATACTCATTTTTCTGGATCCTACCAGTACTTATTTTGTTTTCTTTATATACCCAAATACATTGTAAATTTGATAACAAAAATCACCTTTCCTCCATGTCTGTTAAATCTCAGTAGTAAAAGATATATGATATATTTTCTCCTTGAAGTATTGCCTTTCTTGTAGTGGAAAGTGTAGTGCCAGACATCAAACATCAACCAGTTTTATAGAAACAACACTGGAAATAGAATAGACATAAGATATAAATTTTGCTTTGTCATTCAGCAGCTGTATGATCTTGTTTAAGTAAATCGAATTCTTTGAATTATGGTTCCCCCATCTTCAATGATGTGGTGGCTTAAATTCTAAGCTTTTTATTGGTGCTAAAAGTCTATAATCCTGTAACCACTGGATATTAGTCTAAAATTTGCTGATGCCTTCTCTAAATAGTTTCTAAATTAAATGCTTTTATTTTTGTTTGTGTATTCGCACTGAAGATTGGCTAATATGTTTGTTTCACTGGGTGTTGAATGTTGTTTTTGGAGATGCGATTTAAGATTCCAGGAAGCTAAACTTGTTTCTATTGAGATTGGGACCTCACTTTTCTTATACTCTCATTTTATAGTGATCATTATAAACCTCTCCATTGATTCATTTTCTATGTATGTATGTATATATGGATATATGTATGTATGTATCTTATGTGTCTAGTTTTGTGGTTCTGATCTTAAAACCCTAGAGTATCTTGAGATCTATTATTTTACTTAGAAACTATTCTCCTGTCCCTGTACTAAATTGTACCCCACCCACCCAAATACACTGAAAGTGTTTTACATGCTTTCGATTTATATTCAATGAGTAGAATAGCCATAGGGAAAATAAGCTACTGGCCAGACTCTATACTGAATTATTCTATTAGTTTTGCTCAATCATGACTCCAGATTTAGGAGTTAAGCTAAAAAATACAGTTCTTGTCATATTAGCCCTCAGTATTCAGTGTGAACAGTGAGAAAGAAAAAGAGCACATTGGAGCCCCCACCCAAAGAATGAGCTCGTTTGCATACTCTAATCTCACATAGTCTTAATTTCATTAACACTTTCATTTTGGCAGCTTCACACACAACAGTGAAAGACATAAAATCCACAATTTTAGCACAGCTGTTTCCTCCTTCCTTCACAAAGTTATTTAAACACCTCGTGACACAAGGGGAAAGGGTGGATGGATGACATTTCAATGAATTATCTCCTGTCTGCTGTGTCATTTCAGAAATACTTACTAATTGGCAGAATAATCCTTCAAAATTACCTTTCAAGATCTGGATATTTTAACAAACTATACTTATTGTCCATTCCTATGTTTACATTCTTAAATCCCCAATATCCGTAGAAGCAGAATTGCTAAGAAATGTAGACTCATGCACCATGTTAAAAGGCAAAGAGGATTTACCAAATACTGTAAAATCCCTAGGAAAATTTTTTTTTAGTAGGGAGCTTCAGGATCATGTCCTTAGGATTTAGAATTTTAAATTGTGCTGTCAAGGAATTTGTCTTTTCATCTTTTTTTAAATAAGTAGTAAGATATCCAAATATATGTTTGAAATACCATTTTGAGGATAGAAACTCCACATTTGCATTAAAGTCTAAAGGAAATTGAATTGTACTTTGGTGATAAGAACACCTAACAGGTCACCTGCTGATAATGCCGTGATAAATATTATTTCAATGATAAATATTTCAAAACAGCCACATTCTTCCTCTTCAACCATAACACACACACACACACACACACACACACACACACACACACACACACACACAGACACGAGTGGGAAAGGGAGGGAAAAAGAGCTAAATCTTTCTGATATAATAAGTAAATTTGTACAATATTAAGATATCAACTTTTTGGACAAAAGAAAGCAGGAGCAACAATTTATCTTAGGTTAGGTATGATTTTACATATTTCTTTCACTAATAAACAGGCATCTTGAAGTTGGAGCTGTAATAGTAAGAATATTAGACTAAAATTAACTCTGCTACCAACTGTGGGGTCTTGACCAATTATATAAATGCCTGAGTCTTATTTTTTTTTCAACTTGAAAAAAAAGAGACACTATTGGTGATGTTTGCTTAGCTACAAATAGCTTTTTTTTTTTTTTTTTCTGTTCCTGTTACCCATTGGAGTATGTCTCCCCATCCAAAGTAGAACATAGTTGATTGGATGAAAGTAGCACTTGACAAAAGTGGAGCTGGTAGAGACCTACTCCCTGTGAAGCTTGAAATGAGGGCTCTGAGGTTATCTCCAGCCTGGGCTGCTATCAGAAGAGAGGCGAGGAAGGGTTCCTGAGGTTGCCGTGTCCCAATTCTGAGATGGTATGGCGTCTCATCTCAATTTAATAGCAGCAAAAAATGCCTATCTGTAAAAAAGTGAAAATGAGAAACAAGTCCAGAAAAATAACAAATGTCTCCCTCACCTCCTTAATGTTTCTATTGCTTAGTTCCATTTTGCAACATTCTAGTTCTGGACTCCCAAAGATACTCTTATTTTTTATTTTAACCTTAAACTAGTTACACTTGATTCAGGTTACACTATATTTAGGTTATTTGATAATAACCTAAATATACTTCGCTAACACAGGTCATTGTAGAAAATAATTAATCGCTTTGACTTAAGTCAGTTTTTATAAATGAAAATAAAAATGTTATACATAGTGGCAATTTTGAGTAACAAGTTCTAAACAATTAATAGTTTTATCAATAACTTGCACATAGTAAGGGTTATTGAATAATTCTTAAATCATGTTAATCCATCTTAAATCATATTAATCCATCAGAGTTATAATTTAAAATACTATATTTGGGTAGAATATCTTGAAAAGTTACAATTAATTGGTAAGTCAAACCACAAATTTTTTGGGGAATGCTACTTTAATATTAATCTGATCTATGTCTAATTGCTGTGACGAGTACTGAATCCTTTTCTTCCCAACCTACATTCCCTGAAATTTCTGCTTTTAAAATCTGTAGAAAGGCGACATATGATCTTTCCAATTGGAGCCACCATACTGTTGGTTAGGCTTTTATTTCTTGTATAGATTTAGTCTAGTTAGGTTTTTATTTCTTGTGTCTTTTATTTTATAAGATCTATTTTCTAGGTGTTACATTTTCCAAAAGAGTAATTTTCTTGTTTTTGTTTTGTTTTTTTTTTAACACTCCTGGCCTGTCTGGTATTGTTCTCTCTTGACTAGTTACCTGTATATTTTTTTAAAAAGTTATTTTAAATTCAAGTTTGTGGGCTGTTTTCCATTGTTTGTAGATGACACGGTGTAGTGGAAACGAACATAGGTCTCTATTATTTCTTTTTTCTGCTTCAGAAATGACGTTATTTTGAATTCAGTTCCCTAGTTAGCCATGATAACATCTAATTCAAAGATGATGGATCTTCGCAGATAACAAAGTCAGTGTGTTAATTTGAGACAAATTTCTGTTTCAGAGGACTGGGGTAAAATGTATTTACATAGGTTGAGTTCTATTGTCATCTCAGCAGTAATTCATGTGGCATCATAAAATCTGGATTCATATAAACATTAGTCGCTAAACCATAGACTTTCTTTTTCATTTTATGTAAGTACAAAAGTCTTGCAGAATGTGTTCTACCAGGAGGCACCTTTCTATACTGCCAGGTCACCACTTGTTGGAAGAGAGAACATTGAGATAATTCTTTTTACTCTAAGGCATAAGAAAACAATTTTTTTTTCTTTCCTCCTCTTTCTTGAATATTGGCTACAAGTATGTACATTTAGCCAAGAAGGAATTGAAAATATCTTTCTATTACATTTTTTCCACATCTGCAAGTCCTATGCTTAGAAGATTTAATTTTAACAAGTTTTCCTCTTATCGTGAACAGGTTATAAAAGAAGCCAAAAATTAAAGTCTAGTTAATATCTTCTCAAGTAGAACACAGGCTTTTTTTTTTTTTAGTTTCTGTGAATGTATTTGCTTTATAGTTTAACTTTTATTTCAAGTTTAGGGGTACAAGTGCAGGTTTGTTACATAGGTAAACTTGTGTCATGGGGGTTTGCTGTACAGATTATTTCATCACCCAGGTTTTAAGCCTAGTACCCATTAGTTATTTTTTCCTAATCCTCTCCCTCCTCCCCTCATCTGCCCTCTGAATGGCCCTGGTATGATTTTAAAATTTCATTATTTCCTTCTTACCTGCCACTTTCCAAGACTTTCGTAACATCTTTTCTTGATACTTTGAAATCCCTATGATTCTTTAAGGTCCAATTACCTCCATGAAACTTTTCTTAAAATTTCAAACCAACAGCTGTGTCTTCCCAGACCTGAATTATCATGGCAGTGTTAATGGTTCTCATTCATAGGTACTAGGTTAGATAAAAATTTATTAAAGGGTGACCCCATTATGGCTGCTGTTTTTGACACATTATAATTTCCAGTTCACTTCTGGTTTATCTAATTTGGTAAAATTTAAAAAATTATTTCTAAGATCTAGATGACTGACTAGAGGCACCCTGCGTGCATCTCCTTCTCCGCAAAGACCAAAAGAAGAAACAGAAAACCACAGGTTGAATTGAGTGTCTAGGGGAGAACACTGAAATTCAGCAAGGAAGTGACAAGACTCCCTGAGGCACAAAAATTCAAAATGGCAGCATAGTTGAGGGATTCCCCATCACAGGGAAAAGATAAGCAGGAGATTCACAGAAACCCAGTTCCTGCCACAGAGACAAGCAATCCTAGTTATGGGTGAGACCCTCAATGCTCATGGCCCTGGGACCAGTGCAGGGAGCTGCTTGAAGTTCATGCAACTGCATTTCTTCAGAGAAGAAATTCATGATAGGCCTTCCTACACCCAGGATCCAGGCTGCTGTAGCACGTCTGAATTTTGGGAACAGAAGCACCACCAGAGTGCATCCTACCCTGGGCCCAATATCTCCTTCATCTCCATATTTTTGGGGCCCTACCAGCATTCCTTCACATCTACACGGAAGGCTGCGGCCTTGTGAAACCAGCTGGACGTAGAGGTACATCTACAACAACACTTGAGTCTCCACGGCACTCTACACCTAGGGAAATAGGTGGTCCAGCACAGCAGGGAGGCTGCCCCAAGTATAGAGGGAGCCAACACCTGGCTCCCCAGAGCCTGAGAGCTGCCTGCCCAGAGCTCACCATTGCCAGCCACCAAGGCCCCACCCTCCAGTGGCAGACCTACTACACAACTGTGTGTGTGGTTGAAGGTCCAAGGACTGGCTTATCTGGGCCCACCACTGCCACCACCAGTATTCACATATGTCACCCAGTGACCTAAAGATCAACTTACCTGGAGTTCTCCACCACCGTTGCCTGCAAACCTGCCACCTCCAGTGGCAGGAACATTGCATGCCCACACACACTACCCAGAGGCTCAAGGACCAGCTTCTCAGGGCCTGTTGCCACACCGCCAGTGCACATGCACACCACCCAGGGGCACAAGAAGTTGGATGCCTGGGCATTCCATTGCACCACCAGCATGTGCATGAACCAAACAGTGGCTTCAGGGCCTGCTGCCGACACTGCCAGTGAACCTGCCCCTCCAGCAGTTGGACTGCCCTGCATCCTCATGTGACACCCGGGAGCCTGAGGACCAACCTACCCTGGGCCTGCACTGCCACCACCAGCACATACACATGCCACTCAGGAGCCTGAGGATCAGCCTACTTGGCATTCCCATCCCCAGCAAAGCTGGGCCACAACCCTCACCAAAAAACCAGAGCTTAGGCCACTGTGAGGCATTAACAAACATTATTGACATTGACTATAGCTGAAAAAATTCTATGGATACCACATTACTTTGTCTACCCAGAACCAAAGCAAAAACATCCTACCTAACAGACACCATGAAACACATATACAGGAAAAAATCTTTCCCTAAAAAACCTACCTCATGAAACTGGAAGAAATGACTATTACATCAGATGCATAGGTGTCAATGTAGGGTTATAAGAAACTTGAACAAGCAAAAGAACATGACAATTCCAAAGCAACCTAATAATTTCTCAATGATAGTCCCTAAAGAAAATAAAATTATAAGATGTATAAAAAAGAATGTAAAATAATGATCTTAAAAAACTTAGCAAGATTCAAGAGAACACAGATAGACAATTCAGTGACAATAGAAAAACAATTTATAATTTGAGAAATTCAACAAAGATATATATATATAGATAGATATATTCACACACACACTATATATGTGTATATATATGTGTGTATATGTGTATATATATGTATATATGTGTATATATATGTGTGTGTGTGTGTGTATGTGTATATATATGTGTATGAGAGAGAAAGAGAGTATAACCAATCAGAATTCTTGGAACTGAAGAATTCAAAGAATGGAATAAAAAATAAAATTGAGAATTTCAACAGCAGCCTAGATCAAGCAGAAGAAATAATTTTTGATCTTGAAGATGGGCCCTTAGAAATAGCACAGTCAGACAAAAAAAGCAGAAAATAATTAAAAAAAAAAAAGAGCCTACATGACATATGGGACACTATTAAGCAAACAAATATTTGCATTTTGGGTGATCCAGAAAAAGAAGAGATGAAAAAATGTGTAGAAAACTGTATTAGTTCATATTCACGTGGCTATAAAGAAATACCTGAAACTGGGTAATTTGCAAAGACAAGAAGTTTAATTGGCTCATGGTTCCAGATGCTGTATGGGAAACATAGTAGCATCTGCTCAGTTTCTGGAGAGGCCTCAGAAAACTTACAATCATGGTGGAAGGTGAAGGGGGAGCAGACACATTACAGGCCAGATCAGGAGACAGAGAGAGAGCAAGGGAGGAGTTGGTCCGCACTTTTAAATAATCAGATCTCATGAGGACTTACTCACTATTATGACAACAGCATTAAGGGGATAGTGCTAAACCATTCATGAGAAATTCACCCTCATGATCCAGTAACGTCCCATGAGGCCCAGCCTCCAACACTGGGGATGTTAAAGTAAACTATGGCCTGAGAAGGACTCTCTACTTCTATAGTTGAGTCCTTGTGGACGAACGGCAATCTCACTTAATAGGTAGACAAAATTGAAAACTTAACTGAGGAGTATGCACCTGTAACAATAGCCGAGTCTTGGCCATTCCGAGTGGCCGTACTTCAACCATTCATACACTTTTAAGTGCTCAAACTGTGTTCAAATCAGGTAAATGCCACCCTGTAACCGGTCCAGCCATTCTGTACCTCATTTCCAATTTTTGTATGTCCTTTCCCTTTTTGTGTCTGTAAATCTTTTTCCAGCACGTGGCTGCACTGGAGTCTGTGAATCTGCTGTGATTCTGGGGCTGCCTAATTTGTGAATCATTCATTGTTCAATTAAACTCCTTTAAATTTAATTCAGCTAAAGTTTTTCTTTTATCAGGGATTACTATTTGCCATGAGATTTGGGTGGGGACACATATCCAAACTATATCAAAAACCTATTTAATAAAATAATAGTTGAAATTTTTCTAAGTCTTAGAGAGATATAAACATTCAGGAACAGGAAACTCAAGATTCCCAAACAGATTCAACCCAAAAAGGTACAGTCTGAGTCACATTATAGTCAAACTGTCAAAATTCAAAGACAAAAAGGAAATTCTAAAAACAGCCAGAGTAAAGTGTCATGTCACATGTTAGGGAATCCCCTTTGATATAAATCCATTCTATTTAAGGCTATCTATGCTTTTAAGAGTAAAAGAAATAGTCTTAGTTTTTCATGAAGGAGTGAATAATTAATACATTTATTAATGCATACCATTAATTCTTTAGTCTGTGAATTTGGTATTTAAATTAGTATATACAAGCAAAAGAGTTGAGAAGGGAAAACAGACTATCAAATTGTAATTGTGTGTGTGTGTGACTGGAGGTGGAAGTTTGAAATGCTCTTTAAATTATTTTTATTAATAGAATATTATCAGGAATTAGAAGAAAAATAAAGTTGGAACATTGAACTCTTTCCCATGTAGCAACTTTAAGATCATTATGAAGACTTAAATGGAAAATAACTTACTAAAAAGGCTACTCTACGAAAAAAATGATGTGGACACTTCTACTCTCGGTATATTGAGATGGCAACTATGACAACAGCATAGGAGCATAGTATTTTTTTGTTTTTATTTTTATGTTTTTTTGAGATGGAGTCTTGCTCTGTCACCCAGGCTGGAGTGCAGTGGCGCGACCTTGGCTCACTGCAAGCTCCACCTCCCAGGTTCATGCCATTCTCCTGCCTCAGCTTCCCGAGTAGCTGGGACTACAGGCACCTGCCACCACACCCGGCTAATTTTTTGTATTTTTAGTAGAGACGGGGTTTCACCGTGTTAGCCAGGATGGTCTCGATCTCCTGACCTCGTGATCCGCCCACCTTGGCCTCCCAAAGTGCTGGGATTACAGGCGTGAGCCACCGCGCCCGGCCAAGATGAGTAAGTTCTTATTTGGAAATTGCTGAGGGTAAACATGATCATCTTGAGTAAAAGGGTAAAATACATTTCTCAGCACCCTATTTACTTGGTAAGGAATAAGTCAATTTCCAATGGGGGATTTCAGAAGACCTTAGTTATCAATCACAAGAGTGTAAATTGTCCTGAAGTATTTCCTCTCATGGTAAAATAATTTGAATTCTGAGTCAAGGGAAAAATAGAGATGTATTAAAGGAATTTAAAATATGGACATTAATCTTAATTTCATATGTGTATTTCAGGAGTGATGATCTAATTGCTTCTTTATTATAGTGAAAGGTTATCTCTAGTTTGTACTGATATGAAGTCACAAGCACTGTTCTGAACAATTTGCTAAATATAAGCTGCTGATACTGACTTTTGTGATCTAATAGAGGGCTTCCTCCATCGCAAAATTTCAGTGGCTTGCTCTTGTTTGTTTGTTTCTCCAAGTGCTTTGCGCTGCAATGACTGAACGTGTTACCTTTGTACATAGTGGGCCAAGTCAGGGGAAATCTGCTGTCTTATGATTGTCTTATTGTATATTATTGCTGCACAAAAAAAAATTATTATTCTGCCTTCTGGAAGCTTTTCCTAATGAATTTTAAGAGAGGCAGTAAATCTTTCCATCACACTTCTTATTAAAAAGCAAATAGATAAGTTAAATAATTCCAGCTTTATCTGTCATTCCCACAGTACATATTGCCACTGTATTTATGAGCATACCATTAGTATCTTTGTATGCAAAGAATGTTAATGTATGAGAACATGAATGTAATACTTTTATAAGCTGCATGTTGATTCTATACATTTCCTGGCTTATTGCTATCCTAATATAATTTTAAAAAAAGGAAAAGTACACTCCCAACACTGTATAAAGTAGTTCTCCAAAGGGGTGATTTTGCTATCAAAGGGCAACTGGCAGTATCCAGAGACATTTTTGATTAGCGTGGCTGGTGGGGGCTTGTTAGTTATGGACATCTAGTGAGTAGAGACCAGGCATGTAGTAAACTTCCTGCCTTCCTCAACCCCTCAACTCCCAACAAAGAATTATCTCATCAAAAATTTAAACGGATCCATGGTTTAGAAATCATACTCCCAAAGCAAACAAACGTTTCTTTTCGTTGCCTTAAAGTGTTGCATTCTGTTTTAGGGTGTGTGTGTGTATGTGACATTTGTCGCTGAGAAATGTATCTACTAAAGGTGAAATACTTTAGACTTGGACAAACCAGAGGCAAAACATGTCTTCCCACCATTGTCTAATGTAATAATTGAAATTACTAATTTTCAAAATTCAACTTATTGAGAAGAAATAAAGATTATATGTTATCTGTAGACTATTAAAATAATGCATTGTTTCATCATTAAGTATTAAAGGAGACTACAAATAAGAACAAGGCAAATCCTTATATTCTTGTCTATTATTCACAAAATGGTATTTTTCTCTAATGGCTAATATCTGATGCTGGAAAGAACAGTAAGAAATTTTATATTTCTCTTTACTTTTAGAATTTAATTCTCATAGTGACCTCTTGGCTTAACTGAAATTCTTTCTTGATTAGGGGTCCATCTGGGACTATTTATAAAATAAACTGCATTTCACAAGTCCTTTGTAAAACTAATATATAATGACAGAAAGCAGCCCAGTAGTGCGTTGGGCTAGTCGTGGGTGGAAAGTCACTGCAGAGAGGCATAAGGGAGCTATTTGGAATGATGGAGATATTCTATATCTTGGTAAGGGAGGTGATTGCACAATTGTACATATATGTCAAAACTCATTGAACTGATAGTTAAAATGGGTGCAATTTGGTGTATGTAAATTGTATAATAATAAAGAAATGTTTTGAATCTATTGAGGCCTAGTAAGAAAAATATGTGATGTCTTCAACTTATTTGATTTATCTTACAGAAGCAGATAAATGAAGGTCAGAACTTCTATACATTAAATCAAATATTCTGATCTGAATAAAATGGCCTTAGGATATAAAGACTTTTTAAGTCATTACATATACATTACTCTATAACATTGCTTGACCAATGCTTATTGCATTGTTTGACCATTATTTATGATTATAAATAAATGTTTTCTGACTAAAGCTTTTTGCAAAATTTATCTGCACACAAGATTTCAGGTACCTTAAAAATTTTGTTTGTAAATGTAAACTTAAATATTAATTTACACAGTGTGGTTTTAAAAATTGTGATGATGTAAATACATAGAAGCATATATACAAAGAATGTGTGCATACACATGCACACACATTTGAAAATAAATGCACAGAAATGATGACACGGCTTCTAATTCTTAGTGTAGGAATTTCAGGTTATATTTTGCTGTCATATTTTTATTTTCCTCTGTTTTCTAAATTTGCCATACTAAATGATCATTTATAATCAGTCAAAATACATATTTTAATATTCTTTCTATGAGTAGAGTTTTATGCACTAAATAATATTAATTTTAACTATCCTTATACATTATTTGTGATTCTAATATAAAAAAGGATTACATAAAAGAACAGAAGGATGTATTTATTCAGAAATAACACATTGTATTAATCCATTGAAAACACCCCAGAGAAGAAGACTGAAACTTTGTGTGTTCTTTTAGTTTTCATAGTAAATGGAAATTTTTTGTAGTCATTGCCAGGAATAAGGCTTTGTAACTTTGAGTTTGGCACAGATTAAATGATACATATCACTATTCAAATGGTGCTGGAAAGTTTGAAGATTGTTTTAGATGGCTTTTACAAGAGTGAATAAAGTATCATCTTATCACAGTAAACAATTGTATGTTCATTCTCTTGAATGAGTACGCAGGAAACCATCAAGGGACACTTCTGGCCTGGCAGCTCAACTCTCCAAATTTGGCATAGTAATGGCTATTCCTCGTAATTGGGCCAGAGTGCAGGGAATGGGGGAATGGTTCACAGTAAGGGACATGCACTTGGCACCGTTTGGGCCATTTCTCAACATTTCAGTAAGTAGAATGCCTCATTTCTCTGTGTCGACAGTCCTGAGTAACATAGTAGTACCCAGGAGATCGTTTAAAATCTAATTTTTTTTTAAATAGGTAGTTTTTCCAGGCAAGTGTAGCATTTTGCATTTTAAGTCCTGTCATCACCCAGAGGAAAAAAATATATGATGTATTTCCTTTCATGCATTTAATTTCAAGTTCTTGAGGTCATTCTTTTTTCCAAATAATCACTGGGTGCAGTCACTTTTTTTCCTAAGTTTCAACAGCTCACTTAAAAGACATACCAGATTAAAGAAATGCTAGGATTTGCATTTTTTTCTAAAACTAAGATTAGTATTCACTGTATGAAGTTGATAGTCAACAGAAAAAAAAATCATCCGAGGGTTTCTAAATTGCTGAATAAGAACATAGAAATTTTTAAAGTACATTTTGAAGTTTTGAGATGTAGCTTACAGCAAATAGAAAACAGAACGTTCTCAATTTAACAGAGATGCCGACCTGGGGTCATAATTTCTTGTTTCAATTTGAGCTTCTGCCACAGGTCAGCTGAATCAGTCTGAGACTATTTACTCACAAGGGTACCATGAGAATAATCTATGGTCCCTATAAGTCTTTATGTTAATTACAAAAGCAGAATAGTGGGTTTTTTTTAGACCCATCTCTTTAGGAGCCTTGAACTATTTGTGATAAGACTATAAATATTGGAACCAGAGGACTTAATCAGAGTAGCACCAACTTGGCCAAATCATGTTCTTGAATTTCTTCCTTTGTTCTCATATGAAACATGCAGATAATTGTTGTTAGATGCATAGTCAGCAAATAATTGAAAGATAAACTTTCCTCAAATACACACACACACACACACACACACACTCACACACACATGCATACTCCCATATGTTGCATATATTACCATAACTCTTAAGACAATGAATGAGAATGGATCTCAATATATTTAAAAATCCTTAATACTGGGACCTAGAAAAAATGCCATGTTAAATCTGTAAGCATTCTCTCTAGCCCAAGAAATGGAAACTTGAATTTATTTTGGGACACCTGGCTTGCTTGTGTACCATGAAACTTTCACCTCAATAGGATTTTAGTTACGTAAGTTCAAACCCAGTACATGCCAGTTGATTTGGAGTGAGGAAGGTGCTGTGGTCTGAATAATTATGTCCCCACAAAAATACATATGTTGCAATTCTAATCCTCAAGGTGATGGTATCAGCAGTGTGACCTTTGAGAAGCGATTTGATCATGAAGGTGTCTCCTAATGAATGGGATTGGTGCCCTCCTAAAAGTGGAACAAAGGAGCTTGTTTATCCCTTTCTACCACCTGAAGTTACCGATGACCTTCACCAGACACTAAGTCTTTCACCACCTTGATATTAGACTTCCCAGACTCCAGAATTGTGAGAAATATATTTCTGTTGTTTGTAAGTCTATGGCATATTGTTGCAGCCCAAACTGACCAAAACAGAGGGTACTCAGGACATATTATACAGAGTTTCTAGCACTTTAAGTTGGTTATGTTTATCAGAACTAAGTCTGCACAAACATTTTTCCTCTTACTTGATTTGCGTTTCCTTTACTGATATTATATTGCCTTTTTTAAAGGGAAGATCATGATTATGAGCATATTATACATTTGGTCATTTGTGATTTTGAGCAGAGCTGCTGATACACAATAAAAAGGAATGCAGTCCTATTGATCCTCTCGTACTTAGAAAAGGATAGCAGTCCGCTTGTAACAGTTCAACCTTATTGATATATCATGTGTTGTTACAAAGTTTGCATAGTTTAATTTTGTGAAATATGACAAACTATTGCCTCATATGTAATAGTGACCTATTGAAGGCCAGAGGGCAGGACTATCTCTTTGGCTTAGAAATGGGCTTCCTCAGAAGGACATAGGTATTGCAGGCTTTAAAGCTCCCCATCACATTCCTCTTGAAGATGATACTGGCTCTGACCGTAACTGCTCCTTGCCCTAAATATTTCCACACCCAGTTGCAGCTATTTATTCATCTTTGTCATTGTTGTTTGTTTAAATTTTACTTCTGTATTTGATAAGGCAAAAATATTTAAAGATGCTTCTTGTGTTGTGGGGTTATGTAGAAATGATCCTGGTCTTGTCCCAGGGGTCATTTGGGTACAGGGAAAACTGGAGCAGCATGAAGAAAGACAAAATACAACATTTGAAAGAGAAACAGCCAGTTAAATAGGACACATGTACCATACATGTTTATGTTGTCTCCCCCACCACTAGCCTCTTTAAAATAATGGCAAAACAACATAAAAAGAAGGAATAACCCCACAAAGACAAAAGGGAATTGAAGTAGACTCAACTACAATTCAGAAATTTCAGCAGACTTTGATTAAATCACAAATGCAGGAGAGGAACTGACTCAGCAGGGAATAAGAATCTACAATATTAGGTGTCTGATGGGAATTTGATAAAGAAGTAGGCCACCAGACCCTAAAAAGCTCATGCAAACTCAGCCTCTTAGAGAAAACAGGTAATTCCTAGGGTGAGTTAAGGTGTAATACTGAATATATAGAAAGTGGTTGCACTTGACAGAAAACCTTTGAAATTCCAAAGCTTGCAGAATCAGGTAATGGTCTTTCGCCCTCCTCCCCAACCCAACCCTGACCAAGAGGCTAGAGTTTCATATTTGAACAAATCTGAGAGGCTCTAAGAATGCAGGGGTGGAACTCAAATCCAAAAATGGAGAATCGTGACATAGTGAACCATAGTCTCTGTGGTAGACAGACCCTGAGAACAATCCTCTCTCCCTAATAACTACTGTCTTCTAGTATTAGCACTCTTGTAGTACAGTTGGGACCTGCAACTGGCTTCTAGCCATTTGACTACAACTAAGGCAACCTAGGTATCATTCTTGGCACCTAGAATGGGTGTCAGGAATAAGTCTGAGTCCTGACACAGGGATTCTGGTCAGAGCACTGAAAACACTAGTTTCTCTTAGGGTCATAAAATTTACCACAATTTTTAGAGTTGAATGAAAACTTGATGTAGAGAATGGTGGCAAGCACAATTTTTGCATACTGATTAAAACAAGTGCTCTATGACAAAAATGATATTTTTAATCTTAGATGAAAAGTGAGTCAGATATGTTTATGATTAAGTGCTGCCTGTTTCATATAATTCATATTTTGTAAGTCAAATTCACCAAGAAACATACTCTTAGATGAAGATTTGTATTCAAAAGATTTACTGGGGACATCTCTTGAGATTGTCACCTGTAAGAAACAAGGATAGCAGGAGTAAGCAGAAGGCAAGTTGGAAAAGAGATGTAGGTACAACAATGGCTTCCACCAACCCCACAGGAGCTCCAAAGCCTGAATGACTCCTTAAAGATGAAGAAAAGGGCTGAGCATGATGGCTTATGCCTATAATCCCAGCACTTTGGGAGGATCAAGTAGGGGGATTGCTTGAGTCCAGGAGTTCAAGACCAACCTGGGCAACATGGCGAAACCCCATCTTTACAAAAAAATCCAAAAATTAGTCAGGCGTGGTGGTGTGAACCTGTATTATCAGCTACTTGAGGGGCTGAGGCAGGAGGATAGCTTGAATCTGGGAAGTGGACACTACAGTGAACTGAGATTGGGCCACTCCACTCCAGCCTGGGTGACAAAGTGAGACTCAGTCTCCAAAAAAAAAAAAAAAAGTGAAGGAAAAGGAACTCTTGCACACTGTGGGAATATAAAAGAGTATAGCCATTATGAAAAAAAGTATGGATTTTTCTTAAAAAATTAAAAATAGAACTACAATATGATTTAGCAATTCTACTATTAGGTATATATCCAAACAAAATGAAATCAGTATGTTGAAGAGCTATCTGGATTACCATGTTTACTGCAGCATAATTTACAACAGCCAAGATGTAGAGTAAACCTGAGTGTCCATCAACAGATGAATGGATAAATGAAATGTGGTATATACACACAATGGAATATTTTGAAGCCATAAAAAGAAGCAAATCTTGTCATTTGGGACAACATGGATATACCTGGAGGACATTACGTTAAATAAAATAAGCTCAGCACAGAAAGACAAATATTGCATGATCTCACTTATGTGTGGAATCTTAAAAAAGCTGATCTTATTGACATAGAGAATAGAATAGTGGTAACCGGGGGCTGGGGTGGTTGGGGGAGGAGGGTTAGAGAGATGTTAATTAAAGGATACAAAATTCCATTTAGATAGGAGGAAGTTTGAGAGATCTATTATACAACATGGTAATGTTTTGGGATTTTGGGGTGTTGCTTTTCTGGTTGGAAGCCTCTGTGGCTGGTGGCACCTTTGCCAGAGCTCTTGTCCTGCATCCGAGAAGAATGAAGTATGCGGACAAGTGAATAGTGAGGAAGATGAGGAGAAGCTTTATTGAATGTTAGAACAGCCCAGAGGAGACCTGTAGTGGGTAGCTCCTTTCTGTGGGCAGGTCTTCCCAAGTATTCAGCTCTCAGCAGAGAGGGCAGCTCCTCTCCACAGCTGGCCATCCTGTTATCTGCAGCTCTCAGCAGAGAGGAGGCCCTGGAGAGGGTAGCTCCTCTCCGGAGCTGGTTGTCCCAATATCTGCTCCTCTCAGCAGGGAGGAGGCCCTGGAGAGCGTAGCTCCTCTTTGCAGCTGGTCGTCCAGATGTCTGCTTTGCTGTGGCTGAGCCTGGGGCTTTTATGGGCCTCAGAGGGGTGGAAGCACATGCCACTTGGTCCATGGGCATGCTCAAAAGGCACCACAAGTTCCCACTCCAGTCTGCAGGACTGGCAGCCTGGCCCCCAGCCCCTTCAGGCCCTCCCTGGGCTCAAGGTCAGGCCTCACTGGGGACCACCCACTTTTGCCCAGGAGCCTGTCTGCCTCCTGCCGCTGTCCGTGGCACCCAGGCTGCTTGCACCAAGGGGCACCTGCAGGCCAGTGCCTAGCTGCCCTCAGGTACTTCCCACGCTTGTTGGTGCCCAAAGTCCAGAGGGAGACGAGGCAGCTGAGGGCTGGTGTCTCAGCACTATCTTGAGTGTGTGCCTACCCAGCTGGGCTGTGACAACACTGGGCTTGGCCCCAACCTTGCTCCATGATCAGAGTGGGCACCTGGAGTGGAGAGAGGCCAGACTGTGGGAGCAGGCACTTATGAACCTGTTGCTGGGGGGCAAGGGGGTCCTTCCTGGGGCCCCAAGAGCACAGAAGTGTCTGGATCCACAGCTGTGCTCGGATAGGCTGCAGCTGCACCCACACTTGGGGAGTTCCTGTCCAGCCAACTTAGAAGGGCAGGGCTCCCTCTTGTCCCTGGCTCCCACAGGGTCTGTGGAGTGTACAGCTCTGACCATGCCTCTGAAATCAAAATGGGCACTGACAGCAGGGAGAAACCAGGCAATGGGAGCAGGCACTTCCAAGCTTGTGGGGGGAAGGGGGGGACTTCCCAGGCCCCCCAAAGCTCAGAGACTCCAAAGTCTGGAGCCCACCAGGGCATCTTCAGTGGAACTTGAGGAGGACGAGGCTTCTGCCTGCTCAGTGGAGAGTGGGGGCCCGGCCATGCCTCCCGTCTGCATCCAGCGTCATGGCCATTCCAGATGGCCCGCCGCTGCCGTCAGTAGCTGTAGTTAATCACAGCATATTATATTCTTAAAAATGCTAAGAGAGTGGATGTTGAGTGTTCTCCCCCCAAAATAATATAATAATTCTGTGAGGTGATTAATGCACATGTCAGTTAGCTAGTTTTAGTCATCTGACTTTGTAAATATATGCTTCAAAATATCATGTTGTACACAATAATTACATAGAATCTTACCTGTCCATTTAAAAAATAAAAATAAATAAATTTAAAAAAAAGAAAAGATAACCTGAAGTCAGGGCAAAGAGAGCAGACCTACTGCATAGATAAATCCCTGGAATGAGCTTTCCCAGGGAGAAAGTATAAACTTGGGTGAGGCAGCTCTCTTCAGCCAAGGGCCATCCTGGGAAAGAACTCAGTTGTTCTGCAGTCATCGCATCCAACACCTAGAATGAAGACCAGGAATATGTTTGGGTCCTGAATCTGGGATTCTGGTCAGGGCACTGCAAACATGATTTCATTAAATAATGATCCTCTTATCTTAGCTCTAGTTCTTTTAACTATTATTTTATTTCTGGCTTTTTGAAGCAGCATAGATTATAATTGACTCTTCCTTATTGACATTCTGTTAGGAAAGAAACATTTTCTCTATATCTAATTATTTCTAAACATATTTTCTTATGGAGTATCATCCCTTATCATAAGATGTTTACACCAATAGATGCAAACAAATAGTAAATAGAGTATCTAAAAGGTTACTTTGTTGGATAAAATATTTTATTATTTGTGTTTTTAGAAAAGGGATCTGCTAAGAATATACTTTTTATTACAATCAAACATGAATGGAAAAAGGGAGAAAAAGCCCTTTGATGTTTCTTGAGTAGGTAAATTCAAATCATGTATATACTAGCTAAGTCACAGAGTCCCATAAGTGGAGTCATAAAAAGTAGGTTACATTTCACAGCAACTACTAAAAATCTCTTAAAACCAAGATGTCTCAAGGGTACATCTTGTAAACTAGCTGTAAAGCTTTCATGGTAACAAGATATGGAACAAATATTAATTGGATAGGAAATGACTCCAACAGGGATTTTATTTTGTATGCCTAGTGTTTTCAAGGTGAATAGTTTGCAAACGTTTCTAGTTTTTAACCATAATAAGCAGGCTACAGCTCGGGGCTTTACCTCTTTAAAGTGCCTATGCCATAATCTGTTTTCTTAAGCATGTGTGTGTGCATTTGTGTATGTGTTTTTTCATTCTGGCTTCAGTTTGATGATCTCTCAGCAAAGCTAAATTAATGGGCTAAAAGCTTACGGTTTTCTGTTACATAACATCACGTGATTCTCAAACTAAAGAGAATATAATAAATATTTACTTTAACATAGTTAAATAATTTTAGGTCCAGATAATAGACTCATTTTCTACTCTTCTTGTTCCTTGCACACTGTCTTCAGTTTTCACCTCACTACTTTATAGATTAACTATTTGAAACAACAACAAAAAAATACGGCTACTGACACTATCAACTTAAAATAGCTATACATGATATTCTTTCAAAGACAACTTGATCATATCATCACCGATGTCTTGGATCATCATAAATAGCCTGAAACCTGAATTCCAACTGAAACAGCATTAGTTCCAAGGTAGATTACTGGACATAGTAATCTATTTTATTTTCCCTAAAGAGAAATTGGAATTTGATTTTTATTTTTAATTGATTGAAAGAAGAGTTTCATATTTTTTCTCAAATACTCTGAATGCATTGATGAAATACTGTCAACAGCTGGTGGAAAACTCCCACCAAAAATTAGTTCCATAGTGAAACACTGCATTTGACTATTTCCAAGAATCCATAACCTTTATCTTGCTGATGATAGGGAATTGAGCACTCGGGATATTGAGATAAAATAATTTCCTAGGCGTTGCTCTAGGGGGGAAAATATATTTCCATCGGGCCCAGAGTTGTTGGAAAGAAAACAAAGATAAAATTTCCTAGTATATTCTTCTCACTCCTAAAATTTAAAAATCCACAGTAATTCTCTAACCCCTTACACTGTTTTATTTTGATTCAAAATATCTTATTTATATTATATTGCATATATGTATTTATTTGACTTATTATTGTTTTCTCGATAGAATATAAATTCTAGAAAAAGGAGAAACCTTGTCAGTTGGTTTACCATGGAATCTCCAGTACCCAGAATGGTGCATAATATATTGAAGATGCATAAAAAATACTTATTAAATAATGATGAGATAAATTCTGATCTAAATTATTCCTGCCATCACGTAAATGCACATGAACATTTAGCCTCCTGGTAATTTTTTATATACCATTGATGATGAGCATCTGGCTGTTAGAAAGTCATTTTTTTACAATTACTAAATTGTATGCTGATAAGAATTAAGTCCTATTAAGGACTTTTTGTATTTACGTTGGTGGCTAAGAGCTCAAGATCTGAAGTCAGAATGCTTCACTTACATATTAACTCCACTGCTAACTAGCTGGTGGCATTGAGCAAATCATCTCATGGAATGGATTTTGTCTGTGCCACCAACAAGATCTCCTTTTCTGAGCCAGTGTCCCCAGCTACTGTGAGCATTAGCCACTAATACCACAAAGCTGCCCCTTCTCTGTAGAACTGCCTTCAGATAAGTGAGAGCCATCTCACCTGATGGTTGAGATGGCGACATATAAGACTAGTGCTCATGCTTCAAATTAAGTCCATCTCTGGGCTGTAATTTATGCCCCAGAAGGCCACTAAGGATCATGTTAAAATTCATCTCTGGGCGACACCACATTCTTGATTGGCTCTTTTTTTTCCTTCCTTTCTTAATTTGTTCACCCCTGTTCTGAGAGCACTCCTCCATAAATTACATACACCAGAATCCTTGTTTCAGGCTCTCTTTCTATTCAATAAAACCTATATGACACATAACTTCTCCATGCCTTAGTTTTTGCCACTCTGAATTTGGGAGAAATAATAGGTTTACTTTTATTATAAATACATAATATCCCTAAATAAATGTAATAGGATATGATGATCATCACTTTTTTGTTCTCTATGTTTTCTTGCTTTTCTTCTAGGCTGTAGAATTTAACTTTTTTTTTTCATTGACTCTTTTCCACCTTAGTCTTTTTAAAAAAACACTCTTATTTGGATAATGATGATGCATCCAATGTTTCAACAATATGATAACCTTCCAATAGATTTAGACTTTTGCTATCATTGGGACCTTAACGTTGTCATTTCACAAAATTATTTTCTGAGTTCCCAACATAGGTAAATTGTATATCATTTCCTGTGTTCTCCAAGAAATGGTCTAGAACCAACCACCATTGGAGCATGAACTCATTATTAGAAAAGCGTATTACCCTGACAATTAGAAAAAAATACATATAGTGAGCTGCAGCCAAGAAAGTAATTACATTTATTTTTATCACTGGAAAACAATGAGTGGCAGAAATGTCTCTAGTGGGCTTGAACTACATATATACAGCAATGTCATAAAGTAATTCTTTATGTCCAGCTTGATTTATGTTCATAAGACCAAAGACATAATATGAGCATTATCGGAAAAATGAGTTTTAATAGCATGGAGTCTACAAGAGATTCCCCATAGTTGAATTTCTTAATATCTGCCTTTGGTCAGCTTTTGGAGATGTTAAAATTTGAGCCGCTCAGTGTGCTCTTTTTTGACTTCTTCTCAATGTAAACATTCAAATAAGGGAGCAACTGGATGTGTTTGGGGAGGTTTTTTTTTCCTACTTTTGTTTTATTTTTCAACAGATGTGAGACTACAGCCATCATCAAAATGTCAATATAAGCAATTTTGTTAGATCAATGGACAATAGGAATTTTAGATCCATATCACTACAATTGTAATACCATTTGTAATGTTACTTCTTATTAGAATTTCCTAGCAATCATCATTCATCTAATAGAGGGATTTTTTAAGAATCCAAGAAGAACAAAAATATTCATAAGCCAATAGAAGCAAATGGTATAAATGATATATATTTCACCACAAAAAATGAATAATGCACCACTTCCTAAATCATGTGCAGTGACTACATTTTATTTGAGCAATGAAGAGGCATTTTCCTTCCATTTTTTCTTTTGGAAAAAGTATTATGTGAGATTATGTTTTTTTTTATAATATGAAAATACTGAACTACTTAGAAGTAATAAGATACATTATGTTTTGGTTTAGGTTAAAATCGTGCAGTTATTGCTAAGATTAATTGGTAGATTAAGATGGAGAGCTAAATGAGAATTTAAGCATTTGCTGCTTATTTTGACACGTCTTTATTCTTAGGCCTCTGTACAAACTCTTATTCCCAGCCTTCTAAGTCAAAATCCTTTAAAAAGATCCTCTGCTTATCACATACAGTATTCACTTTGAGACTTAATCTATTTTTTCTTATATTATCATTTTAATAAAATATTGATAAAGCAGACACAGTTGATCTTATGACAGTCATCACATTTATGCTTTGCTTTCTGTTTTTAATTCCCCTTTTATATATTCTGTTTTTAAAAATTTTTGATTATAATGTTTTGTTTGTGGCTTTTTTCTGATAATTTGGAAAGCATTTTAATAGTTAAGTATAATTATATATAGTACATTATACATGATGCAGTTTATATTCTATATCTTTACACAATATATACTGATTTCTTCTATTAGCAATAAGATAAACAATATTTCCATTTAGACATTTACTTGCCACTCAAATCTTCAGTTATTTTTGTGTTCTATTTTATACCTTAACATATACATCTTTTGCATTATTGATCACTTTCAGATGATACCAGGCTAACCTAATAAATAAAACAAAAAATATTATAAATGTTCTCAACCCCAATTTTTCCCCCACCCCCTCCCAACTTGGTTTTCATTTCATTGTTTCTGTGCTGTTTGGTCTATATCTACTTTCTGTCTATAACTACAATTGTCCATTTGTTTTAACCTTGGGACTATAGTTAATTTGAATTCAGTGCTCACAGAGAGTATTTTTGACTTAAAAACACATTATTCATCTTTTTATTGACCAGTGTTCATTTTTCTTTCACTGGGCATGGTTAACTCTAGATATGATTCTCTAAACTGCTGTAGTGATGATTTGTCTTTGTTGGAAACCTTCCTAAAGACAAGCTGACACTCTGAGAATGGAAGTGTGTCAGATGAGCTGGAAAGAATCTGACCTGATATTGTTGAAAATTGATCCAACCCCACCCTAGGATTTTCTTATTTCTAAATTGTTGGTGATTTTTTTTTCGGTCTTTTTATTCAAACCAATTTGAGGTGTGATTTTTTTCTTTACATGCACTGATGTAATTATATTTTCTGGAATAAATTGTCAAGACTGTACAACTGATAATAAAAGACGATTTACAGATCTAGGTCTTTTGTTTCCAAAAGTTTATGTTCTTCACATTAATTAATAATATTACTCATTTAGATGGGATGTAATTATTTTAACAGAAGTATTTCAATTTATCTTACCAAAATACATCTTTATCCAGTAAAATACCACTTTTTACGTCTGTTCACATTTGCTTCAGTAGACCTTAAATTTCTTGTCAACTTTTTTATCACAGTTTGTTTTTTTCTTCTCGTGCATTTCCCCCAGAAAAGTCCTACAATTGCAAAATAGTGCTTTATTTTGTTTTCCAGGGAGACATATTCTCCTATCGTCATTTTAGCTCTAAAATAAACTTACTGAAAGAATGTGCATAAAGCAAGTGGTATACGAAACTCAGATTTTAAAGATGTTTGTTTGCATTTCTTGTTTATGAAAGTGTTATTCTGGAGAAATAGACAGTAGTGCTTAGTCCGTTTACTTTTTAAATATTTTCATGTTAATATGACTAAAAACAATACAGAAGTTTATGGTTATTTCAGATATTTGATAAGACAGTTCTTTCTAGACATGCTAGTTTTAATGAAGGCGGCAGTGAAAAAAATCCTACTAATTTTTTAAGTTAGGAAAAAGCCCATTATCTGTATTTTGTTGTAATCCTTTGTAAGATGAGAAAAATTTAATAATTTAAGCGTATCTTTTAACTTTTAAGATATCCTGGACAAATATATAAATCCTGGACAAGATTTATATATTGGTTTTTCCTTTTCAAATCACATAAAGTATAGAACACTTAAGTAGCCCACGAATTGGGATATCAAAGGTAGAGAAATGAAATTTATTTACTGGCTAAATGGACTCATCAACAATAAGCAAACATGTACAAACTTAACATTAGCATCTCTTTGGACATCACAATGTCTTAAGATTTATATATCTTAAGGAGGGTCATTGGACCCTCCTTTCATAGTTATGATTAGGTAAATGATTTTATCACAAATATTAAAAAGGAATAACTCTGGTAAAATTTATATGAATTAGGAAAATAATTTACAGAATGCAGGAAAATATGGTCTGGCATTGTGAACGTGAATTTTTTTATCTTTTAAATTTAAAAAGACTTTGCTTTCTCTTAGCCTCTTCATCTCAGTTTTATGGGTTTGGAAGGGCACATATGTTCTTTTCTATCATGAGGAAATTTAACTTTGTCTTGTTTTTCCTAAGCTTTTTAAATATGTAGGACAATAACATTTGTTGCTATGAGCTTTGAAATGAAGATTTATACCCTGCTTTTGGAGGTCAGAATATATCACCCAAGCTCTTATCAAAAGCCAACAAATGGAAACTCTATAGCAACAATAAAACTGAACCTTCATTATTCTCTTGATAAAAAAAAGGTATATATGTTCTCTGCACTTAATAATTTCACTGTTCTACTAATTGCAGTGTCCAACTCTTGTAATAATCTGATACAGTGGCTAAATTTTTATAGGTAGTTTTAGAAAGTAATTATGAGCAAATGTGTGAATATCAATATACACTCAATATATGGAACCAAATACATTTTAGTCATATTTCTATTAAAATAGCAATTGTTTTAGAAAAAATTAAAATACTCTTCCTATTCTCCTAATATATCATCTCCATGTTTTCACTAGTGTTATTATTATTCTGATTTTGAGATATTAAAATAAATGTTATACAGCCAGATGATAAATTGTTTTATATTTTTCATCCACAAATTTTTGTTGTAATAATATGATATATGTACAGATGATTTATGAGACTTATAGGATGTGACGGCAAATAGTGAATTCATCATCCCACACACTGTAAGAGCTATGGTGATTGGTGAGACAGGAGATTTTTTTAAAGGGAGGTAGAACAATGATTTAAATTTTAAAACTTAGAACTAAGAGATCTGTCTGGAAAGGTGGACTGGCAAGAGTAATCCACTTGGAACAGGGCTATGTACAGTAGGTGGGAGAAGCAAAGAATGAATCTCTCTACTAGGATCTGGGCTTCAAAAGAACTGAATAATTAGGACTACATTTACATTTGAAATAAAAAATACTCTCAATAAAATATTTCATATTGTATGCTAAAATTCAAAAGACTGACCATACCAATTGTTGGCAAAGATGTGGAATAACTGTAACTCTCATTCACTGCTGCTGGGAATGTTAACAGATACAACTACATTGGAGAGCCATTTGATGGTTATCTAAATATTTAAAAATTAGTTTGCAATATAACCCAGCCATTGCATTCCTTGGTATTTACCCAAGGGAAAGCATGTGTCCATATATACCTAAATTTATAAGGATCCCAAACTGGCAGCAATACATTTGCGCATTAACAGGTAAATGGATAATACACACACACACATGCACACACACACATACATACATACACACACACACGAGAATATCATTCAACAATGAAAAACAATGAACTATTAACAAATACAACAACATGATTGTATCTCAGAACAATTGTGCCAAGTGAAAGAAGCAGACAATGAAAGGAGTACAAACTGTATAATTCTATTTATAGAAAATTCTAGGATATTCAGACTAAAATATAGGGACAGAAGAGAGATTACTGAATACCTGGGGGACTTGGGGGAAAAGGGATAGTGAGGTTTATAATGGGGCATGAATAAAGGTTTAGGGCTAATGTATATGTTTATTGTCTTGATTATGATCAGTGATTTACAAGTCAAAATTGATCAAATTGCAGACTTTAAATATGTGTAGTTAATCACATCTCAATGAAGCTATTAAAAAATTAGGAACGTCGTTGCCACTAGGAGAGAGGGAGTGATTTATAATAGGGAAGGGACCCATGGAAGCTTCTGGAATACAGAAATGTTCTGTTCCTTGACTTGGGTGTAAGCTACACAGATTTTCTTTTCTGCAGTCCATTAAACTGAATATGACACTATTTTATGTTTATGCAATATTTATTTCTTTATTATATTTCAAAATTTTTAAAGTGTGTGTATGTGTATATACATGTATTTGGAAACTATATATTTTTTTGAAAAGAGGTAATTATCCTTAAGACGCATTCATTTTATTACCTCTCCTTTAATAACAGCCAGTTTAGGTCTTAGTAGTAGCATGCTTGTTTGACTATAAATTTTATGCAGCTTAAGTTTTCCTAGGATTTTGAAAGTACTTTCTACATTCACAGTCACATTCCTATGCTGTCTTTAAAAGATAAATGAGAAAACCATAAATACATCATATCTCTGTGAGCCTCATTGGTGGTCCATGCATCATGGAAATGTCATCTATTCTGGTAGTGCTGCTAGCAACTTGTGGGTGGGTCGATGCACTGGGAATAGTGCATCATTTTATTTTATTTTTATGGCTTTATTATACTCTATGGCCATTAGGTGCAATGCCTCTGTTGTCCCCTGGGGTACAATATTATATTTATTGTATGCATTTATCTTGTCTCTGATGATTCATTTTCTTTTCCATCCAAGATGAGTTTCCTTTTTGCCTGCTGCGTTATCTAGGAGTCCTTCCATTCAATTGCTCAAAATGCTTTATCATGGTGTGCAATATATATGAAGAGTCTGGGGAAGAAGGTGGGCGTTGTCAAATCTATAAATGAATCCAAGAAAATGTCCTCAGCAGCCAAGAGAACTATTGTAATTTGTATACCACAGAAATGGAGAAGTAGTACAGAATTTAGAAAGAAAATTAAAAATAGAACTGCCATATGATCCAGCAATTCCACTTTTGGGTATACATACAAAGGAAATAAAATCACTATCTGAAAGAGATACCTGGGCTTCCACATTAATTACATAATTATTCACAAAAGCCACAATACGGAGTAAACTTAAATGTTCATCAAGGGAAGAATGGATAAAGAAAATGCAGTGTGTGTGTGTGTGTGTGTGTGTGCACGTGCACACACGTGCGTGTGTGTATGCAATGGAATAAATACTTTTATCCTTTACAAAGAAGAAAATCCTGACATTGTTAACAACATGGAGGAGGCTGGAGGACATTACGTTATTCGAGAAATAGGCCAACACAGAAGACAGGTACTACATGACCTCATTTGTATGTGGAATCTTAAAAAGTCTAATTCATGAAAAGAAAGTAGAATGGTGAGTGCCAGAGGCTGGCAAAGAGCTGGAGGGACATGGGGAGATGTTAGTCAAAGGCGTCAAAGTTTCATTTATGCAGGGTGAATAAGGTCTGGAGATCTATTCACATAGTGACAGTATGGTCACTAGTGTTAGTAATACTGTATCGTATATTTGAAAATTGCTGAGAGTGATCTTAAATGTTATTACTGCAAAATTTAAGTATGTGAAGGGATGAATGTTCATTAATTTTATTTCATCATTTCACAATATATACATGTTGCAAAACATCACATTGTACCCCATAAATATATATAACTTTTGTTAATTGCAACTTAAGAAACCTGAAAATGGGCCAGGTGTGGTGGCTCGTGCTTGTAATCCCAACACTTCGGGAGGCCAAGGCAAGGGAATCGCTTGAGCCCAGGAGTTCAAGACCAGCCTGGACAACATGGCAAAACCCATCTCTCCAAAAAATAAAAAAAAATAAAAAAATAAAAACTATGCAGGCATGGTGGTGCATGCCTGTAGTCCCATCTACTCAGGAGGCTGAGACAGGAAGACCACCTGAGCCTGAAGGTTGAGGCTGCAGTGAGCCATAATCATGCCACTCCACTCCAGCCTGGGTGACAGAGTGAGACCCTATCTCAAAAACCAAACAAAAAACCTGAAAACAATTTTAAAAGAAAGAGAAAATATATTTATGTCACTATAAAAAATGGTGTCCATGGGGAAAATGAGAACTGAATCCTAATGTTAGGTAGGAAAAATAAAATGGATAAAAGAATCCCATTGAAACTGTAACAGGGGACTGTCACTGGTCTCTGGAACTAGAGAATACTTACAGTTTTTCCTCAGAGTGGTCCCTACGTCTTATGGATACGTCATTATTTCCATTTTAAAGTAGGGATGTTAAGCCAGAGTCTTAATGCTAAGTCCCAGGCAACAGAGTTAATTAGAATCAAAGAGGGGGTGTGGACTTTTGTCTCACATATTTTGTACACACTATAAGGATGTTAGTCATAATAGAACATGGCATCATGTGGCCTAATGAGGAGGACATAAATCTACATGAGGTTCTCTGAGGAACAGGCACCTGCAGGCTGAGAACCGACATGGACATTTCAAATGGTAACATTTCTCCTTTGGCATATTCCTAAATCCATAAACTCTGAAGACGTGGTCAAAAAAAAAATGTCATTCTGCAGTGAACTTAGTTTTCTCCTTCTTTACCTTTATTCTATGGATGCTTTTCACTTATCCTTCATGCAGTTGTCCTTCCATTTCTCTTTTTCTGGACCACATTTGAAACACAGTTAAATAGAATGTCTGCTTCAGGTTTGCAAATTATACTTCATTTAAAGTATATGTTAAAGTTGAGTAATCTTTCTATACCTGCGCATACATACTCCCCACAACACACACACATTGTCTTTATCCTTTCATGTGCTCAAGAGCACTCATGTTTATTCCATATCTTGGCTAATGTGAATAATGCTACGATGAACATGGAGGTGCAGATATCTCTTCAAGTTAGTGATTTTATTTCTTTAGGACACACACCAAGCAGCAGAATTGCTGGATTGTATGGCGGTTCAATTTCTAATTTTTTGAGAAATCTTTATACTGTTCTTCATAATGGCTGTACCAGTATTCAGTCTTTTAGAAAAAGACGGAAATTCCGACATTCGTGACAACATGAATAAAGCTGGAGGACCTTATATTAAGTGAAATAAACCAGGTACAGGAAGACAAATACTGTAGGATCTCACTTACATGTGCAATCTAAAGTAGTTTAACTCATAGAAAACAGAGGGTAGAATGGGGGGTGCCAGAGGCTGAGGGGTGGGGGAAAAGGGGACGTGTTGGGTCAAAGGTATAAACTTGCACTAACAAGATGAATAAGTTCTGGGAACTTAGCTTACAAAGTAGTGACTATAGTTAATAATAGTGTATTGTATAATTGAATTTTGCTAGGAGATTCTATTTTAAATATTCTTACCCAAAGAAAAGTTAACTGTAAGGTGATGGATATGTTAATTAGCTTTATTATGTTAATCATTAAAAAATATATACATATACTGAAACATCACCTTGTACACCCTGAATATATAGTCTACAATTTTTATTTGTCAATTATACCTTAATAACACTGAATAAAAAAACAAAAGATAAAAATATATGTTAAGCCAATTAAGTAGATAAACCCATTTTTGTTTATATAGCAACACAGTTTTCAGAGAAAGTTTTCACTGACCCATTGAAATATAGTAATTCACTTCTTTTTTTTTTATGAGGGAAACAACTCACATAAAGGATTATGGATAATCTCTCTAAAATTAGGCTGCTTCTAATACTCTGCAAATGTTAAGGTGTTTGTTTTTGTTTTTGGAAGGTGGTGTGATTGATAGGCTACATCAATTTTGAGAATTCTCAATAACTCTTAGGAATTATCTTAGATGTAAATTAATTGCTCTGAAATAGCAATACACATGACTGAAAATTTCAGGGCAATATGAATTAAAGAGGTAAATGTGTGCACTAGTTCGTTCTTATCATAGGCATTGAAAAACAAATCAATTATGTTTGATGAGATTGACATTTGATGCCAATTACCTTTATATTATTAAACTGAGAAACAAAGAAAATGATACATCTTTGTGTCTTTGTGATAATCCTAGAGGTATTCATAGGTGCTGGGCAAATCTAAATATTTTTGTTTTCAAGAATTATGTAATATATGTTATAACATGCAGTAAATTATATTTCTTTAGATATATTTAGCTATTCTTTGCAAAAGTTTGCTCATGTGCCTCACAAGTTTAGGTAGAATTCCTATGCCACGTTTTCTACTTGGAAATTTGAGTACACCTAAATTTTTTGTTAAGATTATGCAAAGGTCCAAACTATCCATTCAATAAGTGGGTTAAATATTCCCACCCAATATACTTCCTGGGAATATTGCAGACCTTTTGTTTTGTTTTGAAAATAATTAAAGTGATTCCACTATCTGTAAAATATCTTCTGGAAGGTGCTGGATTTTCCTCTCTTTCCCATAGCTTGTTAGCAATACTACAGTTTGGCAATAGATTTTGTCTTTTCTAGGGAATGAGGCATTGGGGAAAACAGAAATTCTTTCTAGATTACATTATTTTCATTATTTTGATAAAATGAGTCTGATGGTTTTTTGCCAGCAATTGAAGGTACCAGTGTTCAGGGGAGTATTCCCATACATCTCCAGAGGAAACTCATCTTTAAGGAAGGGATGTTTGATGACTTTCATATACTATCTTGTCTAGGAAACCCTAGACCGACATAAGCACAGTAGAATCATGGAGAACAGAAGTTTCTACCTAATCAATCAATTGTTGTGACCAAACACATTGAAATGCTATCTTAAAACTTGCTTATTATCTACTGAACACTACCTACATTATTTCAAACCCTTGAAACTTTGCAGCAGGGCCAGTCTTCATATCCCAATTTCACGGATGAACAAACTAAGGTTGAGAGAGATTATGTAATTGTTAAAAGAGCTGGGCTTTGCTTCCAGGTCAGTCTGACCCCATAGCACATCCTCATTCCAGTACATTGTTCCTATTGCTTTTCATTCTAAAAGCAATATAAGGAAGCTATTTTAAGGATGGGTGAACAGGTCACTAGATCTGAGGCTCTCTCTACATTCAACTGTGGGTGGAAGGGTAAACAGATTAATAACATAATCAACTAATACACCTTTAAAGTCAGCATCTCAAAAGCAGAAACATCTTAAGTGGGATCTGAAGGAATGGCTGCCACTTTCTCAGTTCTTTCATAAATGTTCTTTCTACATCGGTATCTTAATTCTTTTTAAACACAATGATTGTAATAATGATGGTAATGATGTTGAAACTGCATTTTTATCCAAATTCAGGCAGTTGAAGCTTTTGAAATTGGCATTGATGCATAAGAAATATTGTAATGGTTTCATGACACACATGTCTAAAAGTTTTCTTCAATTAAGTAATAATAGAAGCAATGGGTACTCACTCAATGATAAATAAACCGAAACGTGTAAAATAAAATATAAAACTCAAAAGAATCGCATGCTGTCATTTATGCCAAATAAAGTATAAAAATTTGAAGAGCTTTACTTTTAACTTATTTCTAAAAAATTACATTTTGCTGCAAGGCTGACATAGATTTATATTTACCATGACTTTTGAGGCCCAACCTAAGAAAATGATGAATGTTAGGGCAGTCAAGCCTATGAAATTGTTTATCTGTGAAAGATTGTGTCTCAGTCCTAGTCTAGGCATTGTTTTCATTTTCACATTTTTTAAAGGTCTTACTATTTTTCGAAGTCATGTTTTTATCCTCTGCCAAATAACAGGCCTGTTGTTGTTTTACTCAGTTTTCTCTTTATAATTGCAGAAACTTTGAAAATAAAAAGGGTAATTATTTTCTGATGTCTAACAAGTGATTGACATACTACAAGAAAAATGAAAAATACTTTTTAAAAAAACTTTATAGACCGGAGATGGGATTTCAGAATCAAACGTGCTTGTGGATTTGGTTTTCATTGATGGGTTTTGCTCTTAGATTGTCCTTTTTCCACTCACAGTTCCAGGATTTCTTTCCAAAAATATCTTGTGAGGTCCAAATGGTAGCCAGAATTCTGTCTTTGTTTGATGAGCCTGTACATTTCTTAATCCAACACTTCTCTTGAAAAAGAAATACAGAAAGTATACTGTAGTTAATGGTAGTGGGGTATCCTACATTTTGTGGGGAAAATGGGAAGCTTGCCTGTCTGTTACTCTTTTTCATCCCTTGGCTGAAAGAAAAACAATCTAAACCCAAAGAACAAAAGAGAGCTTAGGAATCAGAACTTAGACCTGGGCTCTGGAGCCAGACTACTTCTTAGCTTTTTTTCCTGTGTGTCATTTTGTTTTTATACTATGTAAGTATATTTGTAAATAATAATCCAAGACTTTCAAAAGTACAGCAGTTCTGTAAAACAAATGTTCCTACAGTCAAAACATAACTTTCTCTTTTTATTGAGTAAGGCTCTGTGCACATCTGCTTATCAGCAGTCACTTTCTCAATGTTAGTTTCAAATGTACTCTGCGCCTTCTGTCTTTTCATCTGCACTGAATGCCTGTGTGTTCCTACGTTCTTAACTTCTGCATTATTTTCCTGTACTTCCTCCTCTATTTTTTTCTAAGAATGTAGTTGTTTGTAGTTAATGGTGCTTATAATTTGGAAACTCAAAATAGTAATATTGCTGATCAGCAACTAATTACTCTGAAGCTTGAAAAGTTTAATTAAATCACACATTCCTTGGAGGGTCCTGAGTCCTGGCTACTTACTTTCAAAGAGGCTCCTTGCTCCCTGCTGAGCTGATGGGATTTCAGTGACAACCTTCACTAAGCCTGAACTTATTGAATGCCTACACTGAATGTAATACTGCATGAGTAATTGAGGATGGTACCAAGTTATAGCTCATTGTCCTTATGCACCTGAATCTTATAGTCTTATAAACCTTCCCAGGGGTTGGGTAGAAGGAAGACTTATTCAGTTCAAGAGTGCATCATCATAATAATACAAAGAAGGAAGAGAAGGAGAAAAATAAATGTGGATTCTAATTCTGGAGAAATTTTTAGGAAAAAATATTCCTGAGGTCTGAGATAAACAAGGAGGTCTTCATTTACGAGTTGAAATTCCAAAAAGACATCAAAGGGAGGATGAGATTTGCATAGGAAAAGGAATAGAAATCATGTTAGTCCCATAGTTCATGTATCCACCTTCTCCTCTCTGTATTCAATCTACAAATATTTATTGCTATTATGTGCAGATCAGAAAACAAAGTCCTCACCCTAGGGAATCAGCAACAAAACTTATTGAGAATGCAAAGAAGAAAAACTGTTATATGCTAGAATTAAAGAAGTACAAAGATTTCTGAGAGCATAGAGAAAGAAGTAGACAGAAAACTTGCAGAAGACTTAATACTGAATATTTGAGGCAAGAGGAACCATGTGACTGAAACTATGTTTATTTAAAATATAAATTAAAGAACCAAGGCACAATTGCAGAACTTATGTGGAGTCAAAGATAATGAGAAAATCTTGGTTTTATTTTTGGTGCAGTAATTTTTTTAAGTGTTGAAAATTTTGTTAACGTTAAAGAGCTTTGCACTTACAAGACACTAAGATACAGGAGTGATGCTTCATAAAGAAGTTACCTGTCAGGGTTTGGGCATTAGTTTAGAAGTTGTGGAGCTTTGATTTATTTTGGTTAAATACTTTAAGAAATCACAATCTTGATCCAGGACTGATAAAAGTATTGCTAAATTTGAAAGATGCCTCTTCAAGATTAGAGTCATATATTCAGACATAGAACATTAGAAGATCCTGTATGGAAAATACATTCTAGTCTATTCTTACTAGTGGAAGAGCCCTAAGCCACAGTTCCCATTCATCGAGGTTCAATGCATCAAGTACTTCTCGAAGTGCACTTACATTTAGTAGCTGATTAAATTTTTCTGACAACAGAATTATTGTTACTATTATTTTTATCATCATCATCCCATTTTTATAAATCAGAAAGGGAACTGGGCCAGAGGGTAGTTAAGCAGTTTTCTTAAAGACTTACAGCTATTAGGTTGGTGCAAAAGCAATTGCGGTTTTGCCATTAGTAATTGCTTTGCCATTACTATGGTATTTTATTTTGCTGTTACTAATGCAAAAATCACAATTACTTTTGCACCAAACTAATGCTGATTTTGAGAGCCAGACCTGGAGTGTGGGGATACTAGAGCTAGTGCTTGAGTTCTAAGTTGTTCTGCTGCAACGGCTTGGACTTGAAAGCAGAGAGGAGGGGAGGAGGAGCAAAAAGACAGAGATCTCACCTTTGTGGCAGAGATAGAAGAAAGATAATATTTAGAAGTTTAGCTGTGCATTAAGAATGTCGTAGCCTCCTTTTTTCATTTTCTAAAGAAACTTGAAATTAAGATTTGAATTGCTTCCAAATATAAATGTGCTAGACAATTGTATTCCTGAAAGACAAGAAATGCTGAGTCCAAAGAATAACTGAGAAGTTCAGCTTTTATGATTTCTGTGTCCTGTAATTAGCTGCTTAGTAAGTGATTTCTAACCTTCAAGAAATATAGACCCTCCAATGACTGACAACTGTTAAAGTATGTGTTCTTAAAAAGTTAAATTGTTACATATACAGTAAACACATATAAAAGATTTCATTCTACTCATTAATTAATGATGAAAATACTAAAAGGTTAAAACTGGTTCAAATGAGAACGTGATTCGTGGAATGCATATTTTCTAACAGAGAAAGTTAATTTGCATTGCAATGAACAGGAAACATTTGCATTGCTTCTGATTTCCCACAGCTTAACTTCTACCCCTTCAAAATGGTCAAATAGCTAATAATGGCAAATCAATCACACATGCACACCTTTGTAGAATCAGACAATCCCTAGGGAGGGGCCTCAAGACAATGCCCAGATCTCCACTGAAAGGGCACCCAGTAGTCTCTCATGCCCACCTATTTCCAAGACCTGGAAAATTTTTCTGACATCATAAGACTCTTAACAATTAGACTAAATTACAGGAAGAAAGGATAAGAAGAAACTAAACTACTATGAAGACTATATAGCTATAGACCAGCACATATATTATTGGGGAAAAAAAAAGTGTAACAAAGTTTTATTTAAAATGTTGGTCTTAAACCATTATGTTCTACAATATTGAGCTGTGGTTTTTAGATCTAAGACAACTTCCCTTCCCCCATGTATCATCCAGCTCTGATTTTTTTTTTAATCTCTCTTTTCTGTATCTAACAGGAGACATTGTCAAAACATCAAGCTTTTCTATCATGCAGGTCCAGATAAAGAGGGTTGGAGTGGATATGAAAGGATTCCACTGAGGTTGGGATGAAAGAAAAAGACGATCTAGAAATTTCAAGGAACTCTGCTATGTAAATTTACCTGAACATTACAAGATAAACCTGAGTGTCTAAGAGACTATCCTAATCTCACAGACATTTTAACCTGTGTAAACCCTCGATTTGCTGGAATGAACTTCAGTCATGCATTTGAGAACCCCCACTTTAAATATCGTAAAAATGTCATAATAATTTCAGATAAAAGGTTTCCATTTTTCTCCTTATGTTTATAAAACAAAATTAAAGACTTGTTTTTTCCTCTTTTTCATTTCAACCAACAAGGTTTTAAGGCCTGAAGAGCAATTATATTTATACTTTGCCATGTTTGGTTGAAAGTTTAAACTTGAAATAAAGTTGAGATTTATTGCACTTATGTTCTGCTGCAGTGTAATTGTTATTCACTTTCTGGAAGCCAAACAGAATCTATATCATGTTTTTGGTTTTTTACAAAAGCTTGATTCTATTTTTCTTCATTCACACGAACCCGACACATAAGTCCATCTAGAAGGTTTATAAACATTAATGTATAATTCAAAGTTTATTCTTACTTTTAACTGCTTGGGTGGTCAAGAATAAGGTTGATTCTTTTTTCTGTCTACACTAAGAAAGTATCTTTCACAAAGGATTTTGTCCTATTTGAAATGGCGATGGAGAGCTTATTTTGTTTGGAATTGGCAGTTTTTCTCCAGAGGGGTTACATTTCTAAAGTTATATGGCCATCCAAAAAAGATTATTACACTAGTCCAACATTGGCTGATTAAATTCTACAAAATCAGGAAATTAGGGTATATCACCAATATATTTTTTTAAAAAAGAAAAATATCAGTGTGCTAATTGCTTTTATTAAAAAGAAAAGAAAAAAACTAAAACTGAGGTTGCTTCTGTCAGAAAGGCTGGCGCCATGGTTGGGGAGGAAGTGGAAGAGAAAGGAAACTTATTGCATTTTATATAAGCCCTCACACTTATGTTTTTTTTTAATTTGTTTGTTTGAGACAGAGTCTCGCTGTGTCGCACAGGCTGGAGTGCAGTGCTGCGATCTCAGCTCACTGCAACCTCTGCCTCCCAGGTTCAAGCGATTCTCCTGCCTCAGCCTCCCAAGTAGCTGGGACTACAGGCATCTGCCACCATGCTCGATTAATTTTTTTTGTATTTTTAGTAGAGACGGGGTTTCACCATGTTTGCCAGGCTGGTCTTGAACTCCTGACCTCGTGATCTATCCACCTCAGTTTCCCAAAGTGCTGGGATTACAGATGTGAGCCACTGCACCCGGCCCCTCACACTTATTTTTAAAAATATATGTACACATTGATTTTATGTAATACTAATAAAGTTAGCATAATAACTACATAAAAATAATGATAAAACTACATAAAAAGAACATTTTACTGTCAAGTAAGGGTGTCATGATATTTAAGTGAGAACTGCAAGGTGCAAAAATAGAAATATTTTAAATAACCCAACTATAGAAAAACAAGTGTGTGTGTGTGTGTGTGTGTGTGTAAGTGTGTGATAAAATCTAGAGGCATACATGGCAGACTTCCAACATTCTGTATATGAAAAGCAGGATTGGCAGAAGCAGAGGAGAAATCGAAGGAAGGATTTATTTAATAGTCTATGTTGTATGAGTATTTCCATAATGAGAATTAACACAAAGTTTTCGTTATTTGCCGGACCCCCTTCTTAGTACTTTGCATGTATTCATGCATTTGCTAATGATTCACTCAATAATGAGTTAATTTACAGTTAATACCATTAAAAAACATTACACTGTAATCCCAGCACTTTGAGGGCTGAGGTGGGTGGATCACCTGAGGTCAGGAGTTTGCGACCAGCCTGGCCAACATGGTGAAACCCCGTCTCTACTAAAAATACAAAAAAAATTTAGCCAGGTGTGGTGACGTGCACCTGTAATCCCAGCTACTTGGGAGGCTGAGGCAGGAGAATCACTTGAACCTGGGAGGCAGGGGTTGCAGTGCGCCAAGATCACACCACCGCACTGCAGCCTGGGCAACAGAGCAAGACTCTATCTGGAAAAAAAAAAATTACCTATGGAACTTTTAAAGAAACATAAAGATCTCACCAAAATGTGGAAATTGTATGAGGTTTTTCTTCTTATTTTTTTTTTTAATCCCTGTGAGTATCCTTTTCAAATGTCTCTGTGCAGCTCTTGAGTTGCGTTACTATTGAGTATTGACATCTGCAATTTAGAGTTTTTATCATCTCGATGGAGGAAAGACAATTTTAAGAAATCCTCAGAAAGGGTTAAAGTTAAGTTGGTATTTCATGGCTATTTTATTCCATTTAATTTGATGTTTAACTGATGCAGCTAAACCAGTGGTTCTCAAAGTGTGGTCCCAATCTAGTAACATCAACATCACCTCAAGAATTTGTTGAAGGGCAAATAATCGTTGAGCTCCACTCCAGATCTACTGAATCTTAAACTTTGGAAGTAGGGCCCAGCAATCTTGTCATGAACAAACTCTCTGTATGAATCTGATGCAGGCTCAAGTTTGAAAACCACTGATTTAGAACAAGAAACATAATGTATTTATACTCCCTTATGTTTCTCTATGAGAAATTATATCAAGAAATAATAGGAAATAACAGTTTCTATTCAATAAAATTCCCCAATAATTTATTTGTGATTTATATTTCTATGCAAATAACTCCCAATGCTAAGATTTCTGTAATGCTTGTGCAGATGGCTTTTCTGTATCTGAACCAACTGTATCACAACAACGTCTTCCATTACCTATCTATGATCTATCTATCTATCTATCTATCTATCTATCTATCTATCTATCTAAGAAAGAGAGGGTTAAATTCTGCTCTTCTGGTATGCATTTTGGATTAGTAAATCATTTTTATTGACATGGCAAATAACATGATGACTGATGGACAATAGTGTCCATTTTTAAGCAATGTGAAAATCACTGCAAAAAACAGGTTACTTGCCATTCAAAGACATCAGTGAAAAGTTTTAGGCAAAGATAATGTGGATCTTAGTATGAACTTATATTTCTCCTTTAAGCAAAACATGAACAGAATTATATCCAGCAATGTCCCATTTCTTTATGTAGTTAAATGAATTCTCCTTGTTATTGTTTTGCTGCATGATAATTTAAGAAGTTGCCTCTGCTTTCTCTGTCTAAAACTATCATTTTTAAACTTTATTTTTAGTTGCTGCAACTTTCCTTTAATTATGCATTTTGGAAGCTGTAGTGGGTTGAACAGTGTCCCCTAAAATTCATGTCTTCTTGGAGCTTTAGAATGTGGCCTTATTTGGAAACAGGGCCTTTGCCAATTAAAGTGAGTTCACACTGGGTAAGTGTGGGTCCTAAATCCAAGACTGGTGTCTTTATAAGAAGAGTAGAGGACACACAGAGAAGAAGCCCATGCAAAAACAGTGACAGAGATTGGAAAGGTGCAACTAGGAGCCAAAGAAAGCCAAAGATTGCCAGGATCGACCAGAAGCTAAGAAGAGGCAGGGAAGAATTCTTCCCTACAGCCTTCAGAGGGAGTGTGGGCCCACCAACACCTTGATTTCGGATTCTACAATCCACGACTATGAGTGAATAAATTTCTGTTGTCTTAAGCCACTAAGTTTGTTGTAATTTGCTATGGCAACCCTAGGAAAACAATACAGATGCTGAAAAAAGGTAATAATAAGAATAAATTCTACAAAAGAGGAGCTTCTCTGGACTCCGGAGCCAGGTCTAGGAGTCTGAAAGTATCTCCAAGGAACTCTCAGGATTTCTCAGAAAACAACAGCTCCAGAAAAAGTGGGAACAATGCCCTTGAGCTTTCATTATTTGCTTTCAGCACGTCAGACACTACTTTTCCAAAACCTTAACAAAACACTTTAAAAGAAAAAATGGTTTTTTCTATTTTTACTTCCAAAGATAGAGTGCTTTCTTTCTCAAATCATTCTTAGCTAAACACCAGTTCCACAAGATTTTAACAGGAAGTCAATGAGAAGGAGAAAAAAAAGTTTTTAAGATCCCATTTCATGCTAATTCCCTCTCTCAGAGATTCTTATGCACATTGAGGGCCTAAAGGATTCTGAGGAAGAAGCTAGTTTATCTTTGGCTAACATAGGTTATACACTTTTGGAGAAATATGGAATGAAATTTGGGTAAACTCTGGAGAATGGAAATTAGACTGGAGGTTAGATGACTACATTTCTAGTGCTAGCTTGGCCACACATGACCACACAACCTATTCTACTCAAAACCTCTGTTTTCTTCTCTAAAGACAAGAGAATACCTTCTCTCTCCTTGTCACATAATTGTAGAAAGTTCAGCAATCATAGTTACATTGCTTTACTTTATAAAGATGCTTTAATCCACTTACAATACCTAGAATCCAGAATATTGATAATATCTATATTACTTATCTAAGAAAGCTGATACAAAATAACTGATTTACATAAAAGCACCTTGGAAAGTAAAAGGAAATATTATATAGATAGAAAATCAAATTTACTATTTGATTTACTTGATTCTTTTAATTTATTGATACTATGTTGGGAAGTTAAGAGTTTCTGTTTATAGATAATACAATTAAAAAAATCAATCTATACCTCCATTCCAATTCTGTATAAACGTGATGGCACTGCTGATGATAACATCTTTACCTTGTCAGTAATGTTTATAGAAGTGGGGACTCTTACAGTGTTGTTATTTTGTTTGTTTGTTTCTTTGTTTCACATCTTCCAAAGCATAGAAAAATGGGGGTATTTCCATTGTGTTTTAATTTTCATCCCTTTACATTTTATACTTTGTATTTTGCTAAGTGTATGTAACAGACTACTGGTTTTTAAGACTAGGAATAATAGCTACATTTCTGTGTTTGGGGAATATTAATGAGCACAAAGGGCAAACAAATCACTAGAAATTCTGAAAAACATTGTAAATTCTCCATGTTTACATGTTTAATAAAAATTATATGTTTATATAACAAATCCTATAACTTAGGCAGATGTATATACGTATATATACATAAAATATTGTATATGTATGTGCATGTGTGTGTGTGTATATATATGTATATACACACACAATGTTATTCTAGCCTACCATTGATCTGTGAAAAGAGATTGTTCACCACATCCTTCATATCACATTATAAACTGAACATTAAAGTAAAGGTATCTGACTCATAACAAGTGGACTATATTAAAGCAAAGTGATTTCTGCTAAGGATTTGACATACCAATAAATTGATATTCAAACAGATTAAATGTATACACATACACATATTGATCTAAGAGAATATTTAGTCTAATTATATTTGTTGATTGACAGATATTTCTCCAAAACAAATACAAGTCTCTCTATCTGCTGAAAATGCTAATGCTGATGCTAATTAAAGCATGCACATGTACATATGTGCACACATACACAACCAAATTATTGAAAAAGTCTAAACTATGTGAAGGAAGTGGTTTTACAAAGAGAAAGATCAATTGCCTACACAATTCAAATTTTCTAGTGAATTTTTTAATTTGTGGTTTACTTTATTCATTTTGGAGTTACTTTTTACCTGAAAAATGAACTGAATATTTATTGCAGTTCTATACAGACCAGAGTTTAGAAAAACCCACAATATCCAGTTTCTAATGTTCTTTTTCATAATATATGCAAAGAATGACTTATTACTTGTCACTTACAAAAATATACATTGCCTCTAATGTTGGGAATTTCATAAAACTCTATAAAATACTGCATGTCCATATGTGGACAACGTGTAAAATAGACTGGATATTTTGCCACGGTTTGCAGTATATATTTTGGAGCTCCATGCCAACTTTCCATTCTCTTTACCAAAGAAGTTGTCTAAATTGTTAATGCAGAATATTTTAAACATAGAATTTTATCCAAATCTGTTTTCCCTTAATATACTTTTTAAAGGGGAAAAGTTCAGAATATTCCAATCAATTCACGTACTTGATCTAATTTATGCACTGAGGAAATCAAAACTGTATGTCATTTGACCATTTTACACTTGTTTCTAGTGAGATTACTAATAGGTTTATTATTTAATTTATAATCCAAATTAGAGTAAAGGGAGAAAATAGGTTATGGAAAACCAGTAATCATTGCAGTACTTGTTTATTAAGAGCCAATTTTGTACACCTGGAAATTGAATTAGAAAGACTCAAAGAAAATAGAGTCAAATAATTAACCCCTTCCTTCTTATAAGAATAAATGGTAACAAGAGATTGGTAACCTAGAAGTATTTTAAGGAACATGGGCTGCTTTTTGAGGAATTGGTTGATGCCATCTTTCCAGAGTTGAATATTGGCCATGCAGAAATGATGGGCTAAAGGCTAAAAACGGATTTCCACCACTAGTTGCCATTCCAAATGAGATGCTATGTTTCCAAAGAGTCTTCCATGGAAAGAAAAAGCAAGTTAGTGAAAATAAGAATTTCCATGTGTTTATGAAAGAACAACACGTTCTTTCCAGTAGGACTGGTAAAACTCCCCCTCCTCACCAAATACTATGAACAAAAAAACAATGATCAAAATTGTGATTAAAAAGTTAAAAAAAAAATCAAGAATCACAACCAACACTGTGAACCTTATTGAAAGCTGGAATATCAAGCTTAGCTCTGTCTGAAAATTTAAATAAGCGCAGATTTTTTTTAAGACAACTTAAAAGTTTTGTGTTTATCTGTATTTTATTTTTGTTTTGTATCCTCTGCCTAAAATAAAAGCAACATTCACATACTTTGGAAACAGCTGACGCTTCTGCACAAGTAGAGACTGCTATAACTTTAAAATCTCCTAAGAGTGTTTGTGCTGCCCATTCTTAAGGACCCAGGGATTATGGTTATTCTCTCTGGGAACACGAATTCAAATCTTTCCATCCTTTTCCATTAGATTTCAGTCTCCCATCATTTCTATTGATTACTTATCACTCTGAATAGGAGAAGAGCATTTAATTACACATCAGTAGAAATGCATGAGTTATAATTCCACCTCAGTCATCTTTAAATAGCCCAGTTGCTTCCATTAGGTACTTGTAAGACTTTAGGAAAAACAGTTTCCCTGTGGATTTCTTCTTAATTCTCCCTCATCTGTAGTCTACCTGGTAGGGCTAGTTGGTCTCTAGGGTTCCCTTCAGTTTCAGTTTCTGATCTAATACATCTTTAAGATGGGAATGAACTTTCTAACAAAGCAGGAGTTGTCACCTTCTTTACACCCAAACGAGTGTTTGGGTGCCTTTCTTAAGATTTCAGATGCCACAGAGATAGTTCCTTGAGAGGTGACATAGCTTAATGGTTACAGGAACCAAGTAAGGAGCCAGATTGCTAAGACTGGAATCTTGTCTCTGCTACTTAATAGGTCTGTGACTTTAATTAATTACCTTACTTTTCGGTGCCCCCATTTTCTCATTGTAAAATTGGGAGTGTTCACCTCCTAAAGTTATGGTTAGGAATACAGTGTTAACCAACGTATAGTAGTTAAAGAAGTGCCTCCTGGAAAATAAGTGCTATGTGAGTGTTTCTCAGTTGTAATCATTACCTCTTAATAACAGAAAAGAGGAAGTTGCAGATGGTAAACACATTTAATTTTGTTCCTAAAGTGCTGTTCAATTTATGGGAACTTAATATTAAATCATAGGTTAAAAAATGAAGTGTCAGTGATAAAATTATCATAATTTGTAGATAATAGAGTTATTGGGAAAATTCAAAAGGCTTATACGTGAAGCCATTCCAAACGCTAAAGCAGTTGAAAAAGCAATAGATTTTTTTTTTTTTTTGCAGAACAATATTAAAGGTTACAAAAATAATGAAAGAAATCTCCTTCACAATGGAAGCAAATACAAAATACCTAGGAATAAATGTAACAAAAATTCATTTAACTAATGAAAATAAAATGAACTGAAAAATCAAATAGAAAAATTAAGGGAAAGATATTCGAGTTGTGGGTTGGAAGCCATAATGTTCTCAAGATGTCAGTTCTTCATATTTTAATATAGGTCAGAGCAGTGCCAATAAATATCCTCACCCACTTAAAATATGTGAATTTTATATGTAAGAACTTCTTCCCAAGTTTTTACAACTGACAAAATGATTCTAAAATTTATCTAAAAGACTAAGTAAATGAATAATGCAACAAAGAAATAATTTGAGAGAAATTATCTTATTAAGTAATAAAATACTGTATGTTTGGACTCACAATGGGTATTCAGTTTAATGGAAAAGAATGGATAGTCATTAATAATACAACATGGCAGCCAGCCTTCAAGATGGCCCCCACATGCTCCTTGTCTCTTGGTGTTTGTTCATGTTCTGGTGTCTTCTCCTCCCACTTGGAATAGTGCTGACCACGTGAAAAATAGGATATTGTTGAAATGACCATGTGGCTTCTGGTGTTAGGCCATGAAAGACATTATGGCTTTTGCCACGCTTTCTTCTGCATCACTTGCTATATGCAGTAACAGGTAACTAATATACCCAGGTATACACAGTCATGCATAACTTAATAACAGGAGAGCATTCTGAGAAATGTGTTGGCAGACAGTTTTGTTGTGTGAAGATCATAGACTGTACTTACACAAACCTAGATGATATAGCCTAGTGCACACCAAGGCTATATGATATAGCCTATTGCTCCAAAGCTACAAACCTGTACAGCATGTTACTGTACTGAATACCATAAGCAATTGCAACACAATGGCAAGTATCTGTGTATCTAAACATAGAAAATGTACAGTAAACATATGATATGACAGTCTTATAGGACCACTGTAGTATATGCAGTCTGTCGTTCACCAAAATGTCATTATGTAGTACATGACTATATATAAGGGTTAATAATCATATGGATTGCGCTTCAGTGGGAATAAAGAGGTTATCCATTAATTTTGTTTCACCAAAGACTAAATTACAGACCTGATATAGATAAAAATGGTAAGGAGAAATATAAAACCACCAAAGTATTTGGGAAAAAAAAGTAGAATTTATAATTCTGGACTTCAGAGAGCTTTTATAAGCATTATATCCAAATGGATTTTAAAAAGGAATATACTGATAGACTTTGAATCATAAAATATAAACTAGTAATGCATTGAAGAATATAATAAACAAAATGAAAAGAGAAAATGACATCTCTATGGTAGATAGGCCAATCGTATATATATACATAAGTTCATAAATTTTTACAAAATAGCTAATATAATGCAACATTAAGTGAAAAAGGTAAAACATCAAGACCAATTGAAGTTTATCCCAAGAATGAATGGCTGATTTGCATTTGAAAATATCCTTTTGAAATTGTGGTTTCAACTCAGGCAAATCATGTAATCTCTTTAAACCTCTTGCCCCTCAGTTCTACAATAAGAATAAAAGGTCCTGAAGGCACCAGTTCTAGTGTTTTATAGCATCCTAGGATGACTGTAGTTGACAGTAATAGATACCTTTAAATAGCTAGAAGATATTAAATGTTTCCACACAAATGATAAAAATTTGAGATGATGGGTATACTAAAAAAAAAAAAGAAGAGAAAAAAAATAATTACCCTGATCTGATCACTGTACTTTGTATGTATCAAAACATAACTCTGTATGCCATAAATATACACAGTAATTATATGTCAATTGAAAACTTAAAGATCATGGAAGAAAATTCTGATTTCAAACTAGGGAAAACGTTAAAATCTTAAAACATGCTACAGGGTATAACCTATATCTTAAGAAATAAAAAGCTTACTAATGAAACTTTAAAAATATTTCCTTTTTAATATGTAACAAAACAAAGATGTTTATCATTATCATTTCTATTTGACATTCTAGTTGGGGTTCTAACTAAGGCACTTAAGAAAATAAAAAAGGCAGGTGCGGCGGCTAACGCCTGTAACACCAACACTTTGGGAGGCCGACGTGGGTAGGTCATGTGAGGTCAGGAGTTTGAGACCAGCCTGGCCAACATGGCAAAACCCCACCTCTACTAAAAATACAAAAATTAGCTGGTGTGGTGGTTCATGCCTGTAATCCCAACTACTCAGGAGGCTGAGGCAGGAGAACTGCTTGAACCCAAGAGGCGGAGGTTGCAGTTAGTTGAGATCGCACCACTGCACTCCAGCCTGGGTGACAGAGCAAGATTCCATCTTGAAAAAATAAATAAAATAAAAAAGAATGTAAATGTTATAAAAATGAAAAGGAATAGCATCTGCTATATTAACACATTCTATAATTGGCTATATAAAAGTATAGGAGAAAAAGCATAGGAAAATTATGAAAAGAGACTTAAACAATTTTGTTGGATCTATAACTGACGAGAGAAATCAAATGCAATTGTATACACCTGAGACAGACAAAAAAATTCAAGATATGTAGTTCAGAGAATCAACAGTTATCTATGTATAGATCCTACAAAAGCCCTTTAAGGGGAAATTTGTAAAACTAATATGCAGATATTAAAATAAACCTAAATAAAGGGAGACAATCTCACTGATAGGAAGTATCAATATTCTAATGATGTTTATTCTACCCAGTTTCTTCTATAGATTCAGTGCAATTTCAATATAAATATCAGCAGTGTGTGAATTTTTATGGTATGCTAACAAGAATAAAATATGATTTTTAGTGTCAGAGAAAATGAACATATAAAACATTCTTTTGACACTGCACTGTTATTTTTAAGAACCAAGATTCTAAGAACATAAACAGTATATAGTTGTTACTTTAAAGAAGGTAGGAAATCTTCAGGTTTGCAAACTGCTGCAACATTTCAAAGCAAATATCCATAGGTTTAGCAATAGAAATTTCATTAGTTTGCTAGGGATGCTATAATAAAGTACCACAAATCAGGTGCCTGAAACAACAAAAATGTATGTCATCACAAATCTGGAGACAAGAAGTCCAAGAGTAAGGTATCCTTAGGGTTGTTTCTTCTACGTCCCCTCTCCTCAGCTTATAGGCGCCATTTTCCCCTCCCTGTGTCTTCACTTGATCTTCTTTCTGTGTGTGCTTGTGTCCTGATCTCTTCTTATAAAGACACAAAATATATTGAATTAAGGACTCATATGAACTCATTTTACCTTAATTACTTCTTTAAAGGCCCTGTTTCCAAATACAGTCACATTAAGAATTACAGGGTTTATGACTTCAACATGTAAATTTGGGAGGGAACACGATTCTGCCAATAACAGAAATTAAATTGAAAGATTATTGCATTCAGCTGAAAAGAGCACTATTTTTGTTTGAAGCTCCTATGGATCAATTACTAACAAGAAGGACAACTTAATATTTTCCTTTAATCAAGATAAAGTGATAGAATGCATAAGTAGGAATTTTGAATTATATGCAAATCATGAAGCCACTTTCAGCTTATAAGACTCAACAAATTGTAGGACATCAAAGGAAATATATTACAAGGCGATTGAATAAATTCACAATAAAATTCACAATTTAAATTAAATTCAAACTTCCATAAAAATGATTTCTCTGAATAGTTAAATTTTTGAAGGAGGATTTTTCTGGGATAATTTATATTTTGAAATAACTTATTTTAAAAGTATCCTCAAGTTGTCACAGCCTACAAAATACTTCTAACAGCTCCAGTAATAGTTACGCTAGCAGAGAGATTCTTCTCAAAATTAAAAATTTTCAAAAAATATTTGCAAACTTGAATTTTCCAAGAGGAACTAATGCTGCTTTCAATCATACCAGTTAAAAATGTAGCTGCTAAAAGTATTTACATTTTAAGGAACAAATATTTTTGCAGAAAAGTGAACCAAAAACATTTTCTTATTAAGATACCACATTACAAAGTATTATTATTTAGTTTATTATATAAAATTATGACCTCAAAATCACTTTTTTGTAATTCACAAGTTTACATTGTTATGATATACTCATGTATCGCTATTATCCCTATTACATTTTGTAAGTTTATATATTTTAAAGAAAAAAATTTCTATTTTAATATCTCCAAGGCATTTTTTCTCTGCTTTTTGATTAGGGCTCCTACATTTGCATTTTTCATTGGGCCTTGCAAATTATGTAGCTGGTCCTGCCTGGTAGATTTGGGACCATGTCAAGCCAAGAGGGGAGTTACTCTGGGATTTATCCTTAATGTTCTCTTTACAAGCACATGAGATAATTTAACCTTGGGATGTTGGTAAATTAACATGACAAAGAGATTTATGCTTTCAGAGAAATACAAAATAAATCAGGGTGGAGATATTTACAAGTCAGAATGTTTCTATGGACCATACCACTAGTCTAATATAAAATATTACAATCTACACATAAGCAGAATGGGACATTTTTTAAGAAGGGAAAAAGAAACAAATTAAAATAAAATATTAAAATCTATATAAAAAATACATCAGTTAGAACAACGAAAAATGTTCAGCCTGAGAACACGGAAGAAATTGAGTCTTAGAAATACGGCGCGGTGGCTCAGGCCTGTAATCCTAGCACTTTGGGAGGTCGAGGCGGGTGGTTCATGAGGTCAGGAGATTGAGACCATCCTGGCTAACACAGTGAAACCCCATCTCTACTAAAAATACAAAAAAAAAAAAAAAAAAAATTAGCCTGGCATGGTAGCGCAGGCCTCTAGTCCCAGCTACTTTGGAGGCTGAGGCAGGAGAATGGCGTTGATCCCGGGATGCGGAGCTTGCAGTGAGCCTAGATCGCGCCACTGTGCTACAGCTTGGGCGACAGAGGGAGACTCCTTCTAAAAAAATAAATAAATAAAAAGAAATATACATGAGCAGAGTGCATCCTTGCATGGTGCATTTGAGACAGAGTCTTAAAGAATTTTATGCCTATTTTGGTTCCATTAAACAAGCTTCTGCTATTTGGTCCTCTAGTTACTAAAAGGCCCTCTGATTACATTTTCCAGTGGGATTATATTCAGGGACATAATATGCTAAGTGCACTTTACAGAATATTCCATTTTATGTGATCATTTGGTAGTTTTTTTTCTTATCAAATGAATAATTTGCCCAGACTGGTATGATAGGCTGAATAGTATCTGAGTTTCAAGTAGCTAAACCTAAGGCTCACTTTCATCCTTGAAACTATGTAAACCAAAAGAATTGACATAACATAATGAGATCAGCTACTATGAAAAGTACAAATTAGGTAAAATTTGTCAGTATTTAACCTCTCCTTGCTTTTGCTATTTTTGGGGGTGGTACGCCTCTCCAGGCATCCAGTCCTCTCTTGTTAAACAATGGATCATTAAAACCTACCAGTGTGTTTTCTAACTCAGCCTCGGCATTGTCCTTTACTTGAGACCAGCGTTTCCTTGAATGACTGTAATTAGAATAAACTTGGAAACTTCCAAATACAGATTTCTAAACTACACCTTCCCTTCTGGACCTCGCAAGTTAGAACCCCCCAGAATTGTTCCTTTGAACAAATTACCAATTTAAATAGTATCATAAATCGGAACATAGATGGTATAGAGATTTGGACTGTAAGCCACTGCTTTATGTATTTCCTTAATGCTTTTATCACAGCCTTTTTGGACTACATACTATTTTGCATTCTGCCCTCTTCCAGTTTTAATGTTTATTAAAAGTAATAGTTTAAGTAATGTAGCAGGTAAATAATGTATAATGCATACTCTGCAGCTAGCTAATAGTGAAATCACGTTAAAATGAACAAGACCCACTGGGAAACCACTGTGAATTAAAGACTCTCTGTGAGTGATTAGGGATATATTAGCATGTGGTCCCACCCGTTGAGCCTAAATATGTTTCCTAAAACTCATACAGCTAATCTTATATTAATATAACAATGATGATGATCATTATTCTTTTATTGCATATCTTCATTACTTATGGATTAAAAAGTCTTGAAGTAGATACAAAGTTGATAAACTGGAGAATTTGGCAAAAGTTATAAGCGTTGGGCTGAGCCTGATGGCTCATGCCTGTAATCCCAGCACTTTGAGAGGCCGAGGCGGGTGGATCACCTGAGGCCAGGAGTTCGAGAACAGCCTGGCAGGTGAAACCCCATCCCCACTAAAAATACAAAAAGTAGCCAGGTGTGGTGGCACACAACTGTAATCCCAGCTACTCAGGGGGCTGAGGCAGGAGAGTCACTTGAACCCGGGAGCTGGAAGTTGCAGTGAGCCCAGATCGTGCCACTGCACTCCAGCCTAGGAGACAGAGCAAGACTCCAGCTTAAAAAAAAAAAAAAGTTATAAGCCTTGATTGGTCATGAGATCTGTAAGCCCAGGGATGAATTATAAACTGGGAAGGAAAAGCTGCAGACAGGGGAAGTGAGTGGACATAACAGCAAAGATTGAAGGAGCAGATTGGTAAGATCATTGCCTCTGGGAAGTTAGTGGGGAAAAAAATGGTCTTATGAAACTACCTTGAAAAAGTTATTACTTTTACTATTTGGCTTTCTGTGCCATGATCCACTCAGTCCCTGCTGTATATAAATGGTGAAAAATTGCAGTAACTTACAGAGCATCCATGAAATTGAAGTGGCATCCAGTGATATCTATCAGCTTTTAAATTCCCAAAGAACCCCACAGTAAATGTGAATATAAACTTCCCAGTGGTCTAATTCTTCTTTAATAACATCCTCCAGTATGTTATTTTAGGTTGCCTAACCGAGACAGTGGGGTATAGAGGTTGAAAGGACAGCAAAAAATAGTAAAAATTAGAGTGGAAACAAGTGGGAAAGTATTGTTGGAATTATCAGGTCATGTACCTAACCCTTATAACACTGAAGAACTTCAGGTACACACACTGGGGCCTGTTGGGGTGTGGGGTGGGGAAAGGAAGCATTAGGAAAAATAGCTAATGCATGCTGGACTTAATAACTGGGTGATGGGTCGATAGGTTCAGCAAACCACCATGGCACACATTTACCTGTGTAACAGACCTGCACATCCTGCACAAGTACCCCAAAACTAAAAATTAAAATTAAAAGAAAGATAAAAGAACCCAGGTAGTGATTTTTGGTTTTAGCACCATCATTTGACATACTTATACAATGAAAATCCAATGAATACCTCACTCTCTGTTTCCCAGGAATCTTCATGAGGAAGGTTACTCCACCAGCACTTAGGTCCCTGATTTATAAAGATACTATCAATTATGTTCCCACCCTTTCAAGATGGGTGCTCAGAAAGAAATTTCATGCCACGTGGTTATAGCACCACACTCTGTTGCTTTGTTCCGGGATTTAGTATGATCCCTCTTTATTCATTGCTCTGAACCAGACCAGGTGTCATATTAAGGACCTTAGATATACTGCAGGAATCTCTCTCTGTCTTGCTCTCTTTCTCTTTTACACACACACACACACACACACACACACACACACAATTCAAAACTGAGATATTCCAAGATGAACACTAATAAGTAATAGAGACATGATGCAAAGATACCTTAAGTGGAAGGGGATTTAAAAATGAGAGGATCAAAGAGGCAAGTGCATAAAAGAACTGGGTAGAGAGATAGCAGGGGAGTGCAGGAGTAGTCCTGCCACCAGACGTTGTTTCAGCAGCTGGATTTCACACATCCTTCTTTATGACATTACAGGACAGTTCAATACCCAATGTGAAAAAAGTCTAAGATCATTTTCCAATCTAGCCTTATTGGTTCCCATATGTACTACATCCATCTTCAACATCCAACATATTATTTTCTGAAGAGTCTAGGAAAATGATTGTCCAGAGGATGGATGGAAAGAAAATTTGTTCTCCTATCTTTATAGTTCTCAGAATTACTATTTATTTCAAAGATTGATCATCTGTGTTTTGAGACTGCTGTTTACCAATGACAAACAAATGTATTTTCCCCATTTTTCCTAACTGCAATTGTTTAAACAAGCATATCATTTCCTTGTATATGTTGTGTGTCTTTAGTTAGTTTTGTAATAAACTTCCTGAATCACAGTGATAACATGACTCATGACAAGACAGTGTGTCTTTTATTGTGTTGGGGAATTTTAAAGTTAGAAAAATCAATCATTGCTGAAATAAAGAGACATTAATAGAAACTAGGACTTTATGTCTTTATAATGCTTTGGTAGTAACAGATCACAAATTAAAATGTATAAATATCATTCTACCTTTTAAAGGTCTAAAACAAAGGAAGCCTGATACAATTTTGGAAGTCTTTCTGAAAGTGTACTTTTTTTTTTTTTTTTTTTTTTTTTGAGACAGGGTCTCACTCTGTTGCCCAGGCAGGAGTGCAGTGACGCCATCATGGTTCATTGCAGCCTCGACCTCCTGGGCTCAGTTGATCCTTCTGCCTCAGTCTCCTGGGTAGCTAGTACTACAAGCGTACACCACCATGCCAGGCTAATTTGTTTCTTAAATTTTTTGTAGAAGCGGGGCCTCACGTTGTTGCCCAAGCTGGTCTCAGACTCCTAGGATCAAGCAATCCTCCTGTATTGGCCTCTCTAAGTGATGGGATTACAGGTGCAAGCCACTGTGCCCAGCCTTGAAGTATAAGTACCTTTTAGAAATAAATGCAAATACATCTTATTTCTTGGGATTCTGTATAATGCCAAACTAATATACACAACATAGACTCCTTTCAGGCCAATTTATGATATAAAATATTTTAGAATTCTTCAGGATTTGAATGAAAAAGAATGAAGTGGAACTATCTAAGACAGAAAATTTTTTAAAAAAATCAAAGTTTGGGTAATGTTTAGAGACGCGTGTGTGTGTGTGTGTGTGTGTGTGTGTGTGTGTGTGTGTCTTCCACTTTAATCAGTCTCTATGCATTTTGCTTCCAGGACAGGAATCCAAACTCCAAGATTCCAGGGAAAGGTCTATTTAGGGGAATGTTTGGCCACTTTAATAAAAATAAAAGACAGATAATCTCATAAAATAACACTTTTATATGAAATTTCCACCATAGATTTTCAGCCCAAAGAAGCTGAGATGAGCTGCCCAGCGGTCTGCATTTTTCCCCATTTTTTTCTACACGAGGGTGGGTGAGGAAAGGGTGGCCACTGGAATTATTTGGAACAGTAACTGTCACAGGATTCTCTTTCCTTTCCTCTTCCTTTGCAGCCAACTTTTTTTTTTTTCACTCCGGATTCTATCAACATCTAAAATCCCCAGTACCTCTGCTTTGTGACTTGGTATTCTGGAATTTTACCAACTGTTTGCCCCTCAACCATCGTGGAAGAATATCTTTATTTCTTGGAAGAGCGAAGAATGACGTACCGCTCATCCCTTTCCACATTTCTTCCACATTCATTTTCATTTTGTTCACATAAAAAATGAAGTCCAGTGCTTTGGTGGACAGACAGAAAGACAGACATTGGTGTTCAAAAATCAAGCCTGACCTTTTGAAATAAACCAGATCAGATCTTTGCACTGTGGAAAAACCATTTCCACAAAAGCAAGAGTGATTTTATGACGTCATGACAAGACCAGCAGTCAAGCATTCCACCAAGGAAATTTTTTGTTGCTGTTGTTTCTAATAAAATGTTTTTATTTCCTGTTTTTGATTTTTTTTAAAGAAAACATAATTTTCTCTTAAAATGAATGACTTTTTGTGTGTGAATCACTATTTGTGAACCAATGAAACACTAAAGCATGACAATGCAACTGAGGCTTTAACACGTGTGTTCACTGGAGAATATCTTAATATATGCTCCTATAATAGAGCAGGTTTGTTTTGCCTTAAAATTAGGTGGCAATGTATATCTAATGCTTAGGATAGAACATGGTGCCTAAATTTCTGTCAACCATATACAATCATGTGTTTGCTCTATGTTAATGTCGTGGGTACTGACATTCTCTCTAAAGTGAAACTTTTAATGTAATGTAAATTATTTCTTTGTCTCATAACCTCAGTAGAGTGAAATCCTAAATTCAGTGGGTTATTTAAATATTTTCTTAAACTCATTAAAATAAACACCTATTATAATCAAAAAGGCATATCTATGCCTTTTTGGAAACACTTGGTTAACACATGATGGGAGAAGTGAGGTTTTCTCTGTGAGTCTCCATTCTGATTTAGGCTCTCACGCCATTTTCCTTAGTACTAGGTACTCCCAAGCCTTTATTCATTTGAACACTTTTGACAACGTGTCTTAAAAATTATCGTCAGTGTTTTTCTTCCTAAGTGATTAAAGAGATGCCTTAACTGGCAAGAACGGATGTCCCACTGTTTTTTGACTATCTAGGCAGCTCTTTGTTTTTTGTTCTAATAGTCAAAGCAGAAAAAAAAAAATCCTTAAATATATCATGCTACTATTTATTTTAAAGAGAAGTGCTGTTTGAGGGAACGATACTTGTTTACATCAGATGGAAATCGTATTAGTACAGGCACATTTCTAAATTCAAATTCTAAATACACCTTTGTCCAAGGGGTACGAAGGCCTTGTCATGAAAGCTGAGTTGGAACTGGACGGTCGCACAGCATTGCTTTTGTCTGACTTCCATTCTAATCTGTTGACTTTTAAAATTGAATGAGAAACATTGTTTCCTGATAAGAAGAGAGAACATAAAAGGCTGGGAACACAATAAGGGATAGCATTACTCACCTTGGAGAACAGGACTTCCAGGTGCTCTTGTCATTACTGTTGTCATCGGTGAAGAGTTCAACTGATAGATAGCTCCGATTCCTGAAACTCCTATCAGCTGAGGCTCAGGGAAAGAAAGATTTAAAGATGAGAGAATAAGTAAATCAGAGAAAGGAAAAAAAATAGAAAGGAAAATAAAAATTGAAAGAATGCAATGAATAAGGAAAGTCTTAAAGTACAGAATTGCAAGGTACTCTTTAAAAAGATGATACCAGTCCAACCCAAAGCAGTGGATAATTTTGGTTCTGTTTCTAAAATCCTTAGGCTAAAAGTGATTCTTGGTGATGATAATACAAATCTCTCAGGGCCATTGCTCTAAAGAATATAGTCCTTCAGCATTTCATTAAACTCACAAATACTGTTGTGGATGATATTGGGGAAAATAAAATGGAAGCTTGAATTAGAAAGACAGGCCTTGGATAAGTATGCAAAACAGGTGGTGTGTATCCTCCGACCCAGGCTATCAAACTCTGAAGAGCTGCTATTGATGGATTCTCTTTTGGTCTGTCCTTCCTTTTTCCACTACTCCCCTACAACTTTGGAGCCTTTAGCTACATTCCGCAAGTCTGAGTCTCGTCGCTGCCATCCTTGTTTATGTCAGAAATAGTCATTTTTATGAGATCTTCTCTGTCCAATAGCACATATGTTCAGATTGTATGCCAGTCACTCTGTGCTTCCAAGTTACCAACTATTTGTAGATAATATATCTTATTCATAGTAGAGATGCTTCTTCGTTTAATTTTAGTATTTTGGATGTCATATTTTAATCATGGAGGTATAAAATTTTAAGATAAAAGGAATGCTTGGTTTTTTAAGATAAAGGGAATGCTTAGATTCAAAGTGAATGCTCAGATTTTAAGGTAAAAATCTCCTCGTTTCACCAGTCACTTCAGCCATTTAGGAAGCTGGTTACAGACAAGAATGAGAGTCAAGCAGTTCAAAGTATAATTTTTACAGTCAGTGTTCAAGGGTTGAAGCTCTGCTTCACAATTTACTGGCCAAGACTTCAGTTAAGTTACTTACTTCATCTGTAAATTGGAAATAACTATTGTAGTTGTTTCCTAGGATGCCTGTGAGCATGTAATTGATAACGATAAAATACCTGGCAGATTTTCTAGCATGCCTGAACCACTCACTCTGGCATGTAGTAAGCTAGTATCATTTTGCTGGTATTATTGTTATTATTACACTACTGATGGAAGGAATGGTGCTGAGTGGCTGAGTGACCAATTTATCTGGGGGTGGCAATGAGGAAGACCAAACCAGGTATACTAGGCAGAGTTCTGGCAGGGAACAGATGACACAATTAATTAACTCAAAGAGCTAGTTGAAGAGAGTTCAATAAAAGAAATATTTGCTGATGTAAGGGTAGGTTCAACAGAATCATGAGGGGATGGCAGAGTGCCCAGAAACTCGCCAATAGTAGGAAGCTCAGCCAGAAACTTCCTAAGCCTGCAGATAAGAGGGGAGAAAGTTGTGTTACTCAAATCTTATGACAGTTATAGACGATGGAGAAGGGTTATCCTGCAAAAGCTACGGTTAAAGACAGACAACCCAGCCAAAAAGTGGAAGGGGATATATGACTACTATTTATTCTGCCTGGTAACTCTCACTGGGTGATCTCAGCAAAAACCAATGAAAAAGACCCTAGGTTGTGCGGTCCTTAGAATTAAGCTCCCTAGGCAGAAAGCAGGCAGAGAGTGAATTGGGAGGGATAAGGAGTGAATAATAATGGTGGACAAGCACACCAGAATTTCAATTTATTTTTCATAAACTACAGTTCTTGCTAGTATTGTAAAGTCAGAATTTAACATTTTAAAATTCAAATAATCCCTAAAACTGCTGTAAGGGGCCCCAGAGTTTTACAAATTGAAACTTGGATCTTTGAGTTTTAACTATGTTAGAGGACTGATATGGATTGGAGTTGGATATTTGACTCTGTACTGTATTTTATGACTTATGTGCTTTGTGAGAATAGCCTTTAAAATTTATGTTTTGCTTTTGAACAGTAAAAAGTCCATTTTTCCATCAAACAGGCCATCACTAATTTAGATATAGTTCTTAACAGAGAATTCTGATTTAATTATCAATTTTAGAGTTTATATCAATAAAGTGAAAACCGAGTAATTTACAGAAATCTAATTTACTTCTTAGACATGTACATGTTTTCGAATGAAGGTTATTGTAGAAGAATCCACTATTATGATTTAGCAAAACTGAGAGCTTTATTTGAAAAGTAATAATTATTATTATTATAATTTTAAAATAAATGTGCCCTATTTAAAAATCATCCTATTAATTATACTACTGTGAATATTTTACAGGTATTTTCAGTCCCAGCTTGGCTGCATGAACTTTCATGCTGAGGTCTAGTGTTAGCATTAACGTTAGATAAATGCTGAGTAGTATTTAGTATTTGCATTTTAAATAGTCTTTTTCTGAATCCTAAGATGTTCCAAACTGCCTTTTAAGAATTAGCTAGTATATTATGATACTGAACAATTCCGTTAGAAGCTATCAAGGGTCTAGAAGATTTGTTTCTCCTAAAACTAAACTTGAAATTTCTTGGAGTAAAATACCGTAGTCAAAGGTAAATAGCTAGAAGCCTTCTTTGGCTGGTACAGGCCATTGAACAGAGTACCTTAAAAACAACTAATTTATACCTCAATAGACATTAAGTTGGATACAAAGTGAAAATATAATTCATAAGTATAAAACAAATGAATATTTGCTGTATATTAGAAGTAATATACTGCAACCTGCAGAAAATAAAAATATTAGGCCAGGTAAAATTAAACTCATGTTTGAAATATTCCAAATGGCATGACTAATGTCAACATCCAAAAATCTCATTCATTCAACACACTCTTACCAAACCACGGCCCATTAAAAAGCAAAAAATAAACAGTTCAAAGAGACAATCAGGAAGCACTTGACATCATGATTCGACCACAATAAAATATTTATGATTTTTTCTCTCATTCAGGAAACGATTTGATACCATCATGGAGTGAATAGAGTTGGAAGCAAGGAAAGAGTATTGACGTCAATGCTTATCATATTAGTGAAATAAATATGGAGAGGATAGTTAGAGAATCTTGTGATAATGAAACAAGTGCACATTTATTTTGAACTAACACACCAGGAAAATTTGAGAGTTTTATTTGACAGTTGAAACGTAAAAAAAAAAAAAAAATTCTTACTTCATATTAGGAAATCAAGGTATTAGCTCTATTTTTTTTAGAAAAATAATCTTAAGTATTATTGCCTAATTTTAAAACATTTATAAATTCTCTCATAATCCTCCCTATCTTGGAAACATCATGGATGTCAGTGTATTAGTATTAGATCTTCTATTTCATTTACCCAAAAAAATAGGGGGTATTATTGTAATGGAGGCCAACAGAACTATAAATATTATCAAAAAGAATAGCAGAGAGATGCTAGGGGTCAAAGAAAACTTTACTTCTCTCTAATTTTGCTCTGGCAAAGAAGAAATATTAAATTAGTTAACATTTTAAAATATAAGAAAAGGAATTC